>NC_000009.12:30919090-31070606 GCF_000001405.40 Homo sapiens
AAGGTTTTTCTGTGTCCCAAGTTGGTGAGCCGACATGGATCACATATCATTCCCTAGGACTCTTTTTACCTAGAGTAGAAGATAGCACAGTGGTGGTCTTAAGCAAATAGGAGTTCTGCAGGGAATATATAAGCATGAATCGATGATTTTCAAAAACGTAATAAATCAGCCTTTTTTCCTAAGGCAGCCCAAGTGGAAGCTTAGTTTAGGCTTCTTGGCTATTAATAAAAAAGTATAGCCTCTGAAGGCTGCAGAATTGGAAATATATGGACTACATAAAAATAGCTTAGAACCTGGATGGTAATATATCTTAGGGGTTAAACATAGGAGACAATTGACTGAGATGCTATCTAGGAGAATAAAGAACCAAAATGAGATCGCAAAGGAAAAACTGAGGAGGCTTTTTCTCTTCTAACTTCATGAATGCTTGACTCAAACTCTGAGGAGTAGAAGCTCTGTCTCAAAATAAGAGCTGATAGAGACTATCACATAAAACGTAGGTAACATCTGGACTTCCCCCAAAACTAGAAAACTACAATGCTACTGTACATATAACACTAGAGCTGTTTTTATTTATTTTTTTCATCTAAATATAATGTTCAATCCTTACAATGTAAGATAAAGGCATCCTTACTGATACACAGAGACCTATTTCACTAAATAGCTTTTTACTGATAGGTTTCATTTATCATTTTCTTTTGCTCTACATATCACTTGCTTGAAATAAAATAATCTACATATATTAAAAACAGTAAAATAGCATTAGTGTTTAATGTTCAATTAAAACACAGAGCTATTTATTCATTCCTTTCTGTTTGTAAGTATCTGTAAGGCTTATTTGAACACTCATCTCACAAGAGGCTAATGAGTTTCAAAATACTCTTACATTGGCAATCCATTGCCTCTAGCCTGCAGCTGAATGTGCAGGCTGCCATTGAAGGGACCCACAATTAATACGTACAGCACCCTTTATGGAGACACAATTAAATCTATCCACAGTAAAGAAAAATCCCTGCCACCCACCGAACACCCTTCTTCCACAACTATCTCATTCCAAAGATGTTTGATTACAACTGCATAAATAATTTTGAATGTTTTACGTATTAGAAAATGAGCACAAATTTTTTCACAACTTGGAAAAGAACCAGGCCTGATTTCCACTGATGGTTCTGCCAGTAGCTACTTTGATTTTCTGCAAGTCACTCTTGAGGGCTTTGTTGTCTCCTTCATAAAGTGCAGAGCTTGGGTTAAATGATTATTTTAAAGTCCCTTCAAATTCAAATGTTCTGTTACCTTTTTAAATCTAGACCAATAAAACATAGCCTTCTCTTATGTTTAGTTTATGCCCTTCCTAATGCTATGGAAAAGCAATGTATCTTCTAAAAAGGAAAAATGAAACACTCTATTTCCATATCTGGAGAAAAAATAACCTTACAATTTTTTAAAGGCAAGTTAATTTGCATGAAGTATTTAGATCTAAGGAACATATTTTATCATAAATATTCACTCCTAAAATATGTTTTAGAATTTCTGCAATTGGAGATGTAGCAGAGGTCAATACAACTTTTCATATTAAATTTATCTATAATATGCAAAGTCTGATATTTTTAAAAACATAACCACAAGTAGTTTAACTTACCTAATCACAAATTTTTATAAGTAAATTTATTGTTCTATTACTCATTTTATTTTTAAGTATCCGACAATTATCATTTTGATATGCTCAGTGCAAACTAATTTCAAAATTAACAAATTGCTCGTATATATACGTGTGAGCTCATTCCTTAGAAAGCGATTTTATCTTGAAAAATATACTACTAAATAATTATTAGCCAAACTTTTTCATAACCTGAGATCACATATGGTATCAAAATATTTAGGCAGACTACTCTTATGATAATAATTATCAGTAATGATTCCAGAGTTCTGCAAAGCGAATACAAGTTCCTAAACTAAATACAGGGTTACATTTTCCTAAATTGAATTATTTATCTTTTGCTTTCCTGAAACTGTATCCTAGAGAGAATATAGAATTATTTATCTTTAGTAATAAAATCATGCAAATATCCCAGGCTGGTGTGTAGTTTCTTTTTTATTCAGTTATAGAAGCAGCATGTAGTTTTATAAATATAGAAGTCCACAGTGACTAGAAACTTAATTATTCTACATTATCCAAGTTATTCTGATAAATATCCCTTGTGTTCTTGAATCCTGGCTCACATTTGCCTCCAATTACATGAAATAAGTTATCATTACTTGTTATTACATAGAAATTTCGCTCTTGTAACCAACATAAATTATTGCATAGCATGCACATAGTTATATAACTATTTATTAAACTTGTATTAGACTAGCTTTATATTTTTATATCAATCAAATTATTCCCATAGCAAATCTATATTATAGGTATTTCTGATATCATCATACAGATGAAGATATTGAAGTATAGGGAAGTTAAATAACATCCCCAAGGTCATGCCACAACTTACAGGAATTCGACAGCAGCCAATGTGAAAGTTGCTTTTTTTGATGGGTAACAAGGTACTCAGCCTCCCTAGTTTATAAAAAATATAATTTTTCTTTTCCAATTCAAATATCATCTGCTTAAATCCTACTACATAGGAAATTTAGTCTCTGTGTATTTGGGCTTCCTGGATGCTTCCTTCTGTGCAGTTGTGTGTGTGATTTGTGTATATGTATGTGTGTATACGTAGCTGTTTGTATATATACACATGGATGTATGTATTTGTAGATAAATTGGGAACTGGTGTTCTGCTCTGTAGTTGGTATTTGTCACTAGAAAGTAGACTTTGTTCATGCTCACAGGCGCATTTGGAAGGCAGAGACCTCAAAGCTTCTTGCTTGTGTTTGTGCCTGGTTGTCATCTACAAAGAAACTCAAGGCCCATAATTCTTAGTGTTTATTACTTACCTCTCCCCAGCTTTCAAGTAGTGGAGAAAATACCTTTTTAGTACACTGTGTGTTAATTAATTTAGAAACGTTATTTTTTAATAGAATATCTCTATTTTTCTTCAACCCAATCCTGTTACATCTCTGTCTTCAACTCCATGTCAGGATCACCATCCTGATTAGGAGAGTACATTATTGTAGTTATTTCCTTTTCATTCTCACCAATGAAGTCAGGTTTTGTATACAATTTTAAAAAGCAAAATTTTAAATACTAATTTAATACTTCTCATCTAAGAAACTTTCCCAGAATTAATATAGTCAGTGAACTTATAGCAGTCTAGATTTATTTCAGAAAAACAAACATACACAGAAACATATTAAGCCATTGTCACCTACCCCAACAGTGGTTGATAAGACTTTGTATGAAAGATTGAATTGTCTATCAGAGTCACATAGAAGTCAAGAAATCTAGTTTGTGATTCAACTCTCCCTCTCTGAGTGTCCTTTACAAAAAATGGTCCTTAGTTTTTAAATTTCAAAATTAAGATAAAACAGATAATAATGGTATGTATTGAGTGCTTGCAGTGTTCCAAATACTGCATGAGACCTTTAAAAACCATATTATGATTGATGAGAAAAATTGAGGCTTAGAAATACTAAGAGGTTTAATTAATTCAAGGCCCCACATATGGTAAACAAAAGTATTGAGAATGAAACCTAGATTTTCTGGAATCCACCATTCAAGGTCTAAACCCATGTGTTATTCACTTTTCAGAGCCAACGCAGAGATACAATGAGATCTTGAATGCTCTAATGCATGGCAGACTTTATAGAACTTTATAGAGCAAAGCATTGTTTTCTGAGTTGTGTCTCCTCAAGCATATTATAACTATGTTAATTATATGATTAATTATTTTTGTTAGGTTGCTTTTGTCAGTTCTTCTAACTTAATAGATATACGGTGATACGTTCACATCTACTTGGATATAATGATATAATTAAGCTTTATGCTTAATGAGATTGCCATTTGAAAGACAGCAAACAAAAATGTGTAATGGTAAAACTGTTAGCTTTTATACAATTGAATTAGTATTTAAATTTGTTATTTGCTAAATCAAATTAAGACAACTAATACCATTGAGGAGGTTACTACACATCCTCTTTCTAGCACATGTATTTTCATAATTATGAGGAAAAATATTTATATAGCGAGGCACAACTTAGATTTGTTAGCAAAAGCATCAACAGTACAATACTACTTTATGGTCTGAAATGTTATGCTTTCCTATAATATAAAATTATTACATCTAAATCATCTACTAATTTTGGAAAGTTTCTAGAAATATGATTTATTTTAAAATTATTTGTGTCAAATTCTCTTTCCTCTCCCTTTAAATCATCTTATTTGCAGATTATTCTATGTGGTCTGTATCATGATGATTCTCCCCCTAGCAGGGACATTTCAGCATGCAGTGTAACCAATAAAATTTTATTTATTTTTAAGTGAGTGTGGGTAAGAGGTTATTGTTACTCAAGAGTGCCCTAAAGATTGCTCTTTACTCTTTGTACACCAAGAGTATCCCCCTGGTGCATTTTCTGGTTCTTTCCCATTTATAATCAACCTTACATTTCAGAGCAGACTTGTCTCAGGTGATTCTATTGATGAGTTTCAACTTTCTGCTAGTGGACGTATCCAATATTCCCTTATTTTCTTTATTTTTCCTCTTCTTCCCCCCATGTACTCCTCAAATAAATCTCAGATTCCATCCATTATCCAGAATTAAGTTACATTTTCTATTTTTTGTAATCACATAATCATTCATAGCAAAGTTTCCTGGTTACTGGAGAAAATGGAGAAGTTTCACATGCTAATTCCTTATTGTATAATGGTGGACGTTTGTTTTCTTAAATGAAGACAGACAATACAAATAATTTAGTTTCATTTAATTTATCAGTCACTTAACTACATAATAAAGCATTATCTCTGCCCTTAGCCTTATTTAGTATTTTCTGTCCATATTTGGAACTTATTTGTAGATACACTGAATACAAAATTTTGTTCTGCTGATGTAAAGCAAAATTCCGTTGCATATCTGTATTATTATTTTTAAGTCAAGCTTTCAGAATGCAAATTTTAACACTAAAGCAAAATAATGATTAAATTTTTGCAGTCATTTGCATTTTTATAGTAACTACAAGTTTCATACTTTTTCTCAAAGGCCTTTTCCCCCCCAGCAAACAGGTTGAAAGCCAAAGATTTACTTTTTTAACGGAATTTTGGGCTTGACTTAGATTAGTGAGAAAGAAAACAAACAGAACTGCTTTGATGATATATTGCTGTAATGCATCATCAGAGTACTGCTCATGTGGTAAACTGCAATATTAGTATAATACATCATCAAGAGTGCTGTCACTCTAAAAAAGTATGAGTGTAATACATCAGCAGCCATCACCACGCACTGCCACTTCCAACAGTGTTTAAGGAATGCTATTGTGCTACCATCTGCTAGGGCGGAATGAACAGCCTTCCTAAATGTAAGCATAATTGATTAATTTTATTATGAACTTGTCTTGAGAAACCCACTTGTGTCTTATCAACGTTCATTAGCTTATCTTCTCCTTCTGTTCTTTATTGTACCATATTTGCAATTTACTCTGTGAGATAAAGCATTTAAGAAACTGCCTTAGCGTTTCACTTTCATTCTCCAAGTTTTCAGACAGTAGTTAGCACTCCAATATTAAATAAGTAAGCATATAGAGAACAATTGATAGGCACCATATTGGCATATTTCTAACAAAGCTTTATGCTACTGGACTCTTTCTAACCAAGCCTTTTCAAAAGAGCTTCTGGTATCCACAGTAAATTCTTCAAAAATAAAACCAAAAACTTCCTAAAGTCCTGGGCATGTATTTTATGTAAATGATTCCTTCTCCATACATGTCACTAAACATTTCCCCGTTATAATTTTCCACTCTCCAATTAAAAGAAAAAATCTTCCTTTCTAATTACCTCTATTCATTATCTTTTCAGGAATTCAGTTATCTAATTTAGTATTTTTTAGTGATTTCCCTTCAGTGATAGGTGTTGTGTTAGTCCATTCTCGCACTGCTATAAAGAATACCTGAGACTGAGTAATTTATAAAGAAAAGAGGTTTAATTGACTCACAGTTCCACAGGCTGTATAGGAGGCACGGCTGGGGAGGTCTCAGGAAACTTACAGTCATGGTGGAGGTGAAGGAGAAGCAAGCACATCTTCATGGCGGGAGCAGGAGGAAGGGAGAGTGAAGGGGGAGGTGCTATACACTTTCAAACGAGCAGATCTCCTGAGAAGTTCATCATGAGACAGCACTAGTGGAATAGTGCTAACCCATTAGAAACCACCCACAGGATCCAATCACTTCCCACCAGGCCACACCGCCAACACTGGGAGTTAAAATTCAACATGAGATTTGGATGGGGACACAGCCAAACTGTATCAGGTGTCTTTTAACTTCTTATGACAGTCGAATAGTCTGAGTGATTTGCAATTTTTATATAACTCCTTTCCAAGCTGCTTTTAAGGATTGTGCTTCATATTTGTTCATAAAAATATGTGCATTTTGATGCTGTGGTACTCAGGTATATTTGTCCATTTTTGTATTGCTCTAAAGGAATATCTGAGACTGGGTCATTGATAAAGAAAAGAGGTTTAATTGGAAGGCTGTACAAGAAGCATGTGCTGGCATGTCTTTGGCTTCTGGTGATGCCTTAGGGCATTTTTACTCATGGCAGAAGGTGAAGCAGGAGCAGGCAAGTCACATGGCTAATGAGAAAGCGAAAGAAATGGAGGCGCTACACTCTTTTAAACATCAAGATCTTACAAAAACTGAAAGCAAAAACTCACTCTCAGTGCAAGGACAGCACCAAGCTATTCATGAGGAATCTGCCCCCATGATCCAAACACCTCCCACCATGCCCTACCTCCAATATTAGGGATTACATTTCCACATGAGCTCTGGAGGGGTTGAAACATCTAAACTATATCACAAAGCCTGAAAGCAAACTCTTATGTGGGCTTTTCTAAAAAAAATCACTTATTTTCTACCTGTTTGTCTTTTCATCTCAGCTAATTAATGACATCTCAGAAATATTTAAATGAACTGAGTATTAGATATTAAAAATTATTATAAATTTTATGTGTCTGTGGTATCACAATTATGTTGGAGAATTTTTCTTATTATTCAGATGTGTTATGAATTTTTAGGGATGAATTGTCAGGACCTATACTTTAAAATGTCTTAGCACTATTATTAATAAATATTTGGATACATATATAGAGATTTTAATTAAACATAGCAAAATGCTAGCAATTAGCAAAAATAAATATTGAGTAAATAGGTGTTAATTGTATTATTTCTTTTTACTTTTTTATATTTAAAACTTTTCCAAAAATGTTGCACAAAAATAAAGAAACATAAGACAAAGTAATAAGAAGACTGTGTTTGAATCCTACTGCAAAAAACAAATGTATAACTATTTTGCGAACAATTAGTAACATTTGAAAATATATTGAGTCTTAACTGAAATTAAGGAGGCACTAATTTATTAGGCATGATAATTGTACAGTATTGGGGATGTCCTTAATTTAAAAGATACATACTAATGTGTTTGGGGGATGAAATGATGTGATTTTGTAGTTTAATTTTAAATACTGATGAGCAAAATAATTCAGTATATTAGTAATTAATAATCACTTGTATTCTTAATTGGTTACTTTTCTCAGTAATTAATATTAACATTTGTGAAAGGTATATAGTGGTTCATTGTTTTCTGAATTTTAAAAATTCACACATTCCTACTAAAAAAATAGAGTACCCTTTCTCCACCTAAATTTCAAAGATTAAGAACAGAGATTTCCAATTATTGTTTAATTGTCTCAAGATATTTGGCTGGTCCCTTCAGATGCATTTAGTTTTGTATAAAAAATGAAATTTCTGAAAATATGTCATTAATTATATCTCCAGATAAGAAAATTGATGTTTAAAGGGGTTAAGTAATGAGTTAAAGGTTACACAGCTGCTATGCAGGAGAACTAGCAAGTGGGTCAACTACACCTTTGTTTCCTGCTATCTATCTGGAATTTACAGTATTTTAGCATCACTTATCTAGGACATTTCGTTGGTCTTAGGGCAGTGGATAAAGAAACATGACACACCCCCAGCTACTCTGAAAACTTCTGCTCAGAAAAGACATGATTCCTATTATTCACGCACACACTTTATTGGAAAAGTTATATAGCCAAGAGTGTCGTTAAACAGGAGAAGATAATATAATGCTCGTACAGAAAATAACATGTCAGGTAGGGAATCAGGACTATTTGGTGAATTAGTACTGCTACATATCACAAGCTTATATGAAAATTATTGAGCATAATCATAACAAACATTATTGCTAACTTATACAAAACACATATGGTATTAGAGAATAACAAGAAATATTAAACGAGTCACATCTACAGTGCTGTGCACTCTACTGAAGTAGGAATTATTGTTTTATCATTTATTACATCAATTTTTGTACATTGGTTTCCTGCCAAAATTTGGCATTTAGGAGAAAAGGGATTACAGGTTTTACAAATTTAAAAAATCATTTTCTTTACATAAAATCCCTTGAATCCACCCTACTTTGTATAAAATATTATTAAAATTTGCATGTACTGTAAATGTCTTTTGCTGAGGTAAGGAATACATACTATTCCAAATAAATGCTAAGATGGAATATAATTATTACTTTTGTATAAATCTTATGGATTACAGAGTAAAAGATTGAATTCCAGAAAACCAATTGGTGGTTCATATTTTTTAAATGTTTTTCATATATTTATCAAGAAAATGAATATTTTGTGTATATAATAATACATTTAATAGATGAAAATAAAGTGTATTATAAATTGAAACACTTTTTGTATAATTTTGACTACAGATGAAATAAATTATGTTTGCAATTTAATTAAGTTAAAAATTTTTGGAAGAATTATTGTTTAAAACCATTCATATTCACATATGTGTTAGAAACAGAAAAAATAATATTAGAAATAAAAACGTATGCACACATTTATTTATTGAGCCCATGCCATAGGTCACACTGTGTTTAGATTCTGGAAATAAAATAGTACGTAAGACACAGGCTTGTTCTCTATTAGATGGTACTGTATAAGGAAGAACACAAGATTGTGGTTAGTTTCAATAGTGTGTGATAAATGGTATGTTATAGACTACTCTGAAAACGTGGATAAGCAGAAGCTGATGCAATCTTGGGTCATTTACTGAGAATGCTGAATTAGATTATATCCAATAAGAAATATAAAAAGTGAACAAAAATCATTTCTGTGAAAATTAGGGAAAGATTGGGTAATGCTGTTTAAGTCACGGTAAATAGATTTTGCAAAGTTATCAAGTTAAAATAGGTACTTTCTGAGACTTCAAATCATTCCCTATGGCTAGATGTTTAATTCAGAAACTAGGCTAAGGAAAAAGGGGGGAAACTGAGTTAAAGAACCAACGACTAGCAATGTCAAAATTGGGAATACAAGGAGCTATTAAAAGACTTTAAACTAGCGTGATGGATTATCATATTTGAATAAATATTAGAATGCTTCCTTTCTATATTCAGTTTACTTAGAGAAATCTCAGATGTGATAAAGTAGTCAGAACTACTAGAACTAGGTGTAAAATGGCATTTCTGACCACAATGAGGATTGCAAAAAAAAATGCTTGCATGTAGTCATTAAAATGATTTTTTACCTTTTCATAATCTTGATAACTGAATAGAAAAATTAGCTGTTTTTTAAAAATAATTGTTTCATATTTCATAAGAATGCATCTGTTTAAGACACTTCAGAACAGTGTATGATATTTTGCTCAGGGCTATCATTTACAATGTTACTCTGAGAAACTTTCCAAAGACTTGCATGCATTCTAATTATTTGCTTCTTTATACATTTTTATATTTTCACTTTATTCTCATCATTGTGTGTTAACTTTTGCTTTCTTTAAAGTTAGATGAGAAGAAATATTTCATATTGTTTCAAGAAAACAAATTTCAAAATTGAAATGGGATCATAATAATGCTACATTAAATTCATTTAGCACTACAGGGAAATAATATGCTTTTCAATAACCTATTTTCCTGATAGAGTAAATGACATAAAGACCATTTACATATAAAAGGTTTTTAGTATTTTTCCAAGTATGTAAAATTGTATATAAAATTTACTATCTCTTTAATAGCCTGTAATCTATAATATATTAAAAATAAAATATTAATAATTGGGCCAGGTGCGGTGGCTCACACCTGTAATCCCAGCACTTTGGGAGGCCATGGTGGGTGGATCACTTGAGGTCAGGAGTTCAAGAACAGCCTTGCCAACATGATGAAACCCCGTCTCCACTAAAGATACAAAAATTAGCCTGGTGTGGTGGTGCATGCCTGTAATCACAGCTACTCAGGAGGCTGAGGCAGGAAAATTGTTTGAACCTGGGAGGCGAAGGTTTCAGTGAGCTGAGAAAATGCCATTGCACTCCAGCCTGGGCAACAGTGAGAAGCCATCTCAAAAAAAAAAAAATTGTTATTTTAAAATAATCATTTTATTACTGATTTCATTATTGATAGCTAGGAGTCATCATGGATACTGAATATTAATTCTATCATGATATCAAGTATTTCATTATGTATAATTGAGATTTATAAGGTATTTCTTCCTTTTGTTTATGCTGAGAGTTTTGTTCTTCTTTCCTACTCTAGTTTTTTCTTCTTTCTTTCTTACCTTATTTTTAATATTTGGAATGAGGCTTCATTGATCTCAGGCCCTAGTATTGTTGTCAGGTTCTTAGCATATCCTTTTTTGTTGACATCATTGCATGCCCTTCTGTGGGTTCCTGTTATCAATTTAATTGTGTCACTCAAAAATAAATAAATAAATAAATAAATAAATACGTTGAAGTCCTAAGCCCAGTACCCTAAAATGTGACTTTATTTGGAAATAGGATCTTCACATAGTGTCTTACACTATGTGGGCAGCTATAATAAAATACCAAAAACTGAGTAGCTAATAAACAGCAACGATTTATTTTTCACAGTTATGCAGGCTGGGAAGCCCAAGATCAAGGCACCAGTGGCATCTAGTGAAAACCAGTTTCCTCAAAGATAGAACTTCTAGCTGTGTCCCCACTTAGGGGAGGGGGCTAGCTAGTTCTCTGGGGTCTCTTCTATAAAGGTATTAACCCCAATAATGAGGGTGGTACCTCATGATCTAATCATATTCCCAGGGCCCCACCTCCTAATACCATCACATTCAAGATTAGGATTTAATACATGAATGTGAGGAGGACACAAACATTTAGATTTTAGCACAGAGGAAATGTAGTTAAAATGATGTGATTAAGGTGGGACTTAATATTATATGACTGGTGTCCTCATGAAAGAGGTAAATTTGAACACAAAGCAGACATGCACAAAGGGAAGATGATGTGAAGATGGCCATGTAATGATGGAGCGGACATTGGACTGATGCAGCTGCAAGCCAAGTAATGCCAATCATTGATAGCCACCACCAGAGCTAGGAAAAGGCCAGGAAGAATTCTATCTGGAGTCTCACAGAGAGCCTGGTCGTGCTGATACCTTGATTGTGGCCTTTAAGACTCCAGAATTGTAAGACAATACATTTCTGTTGTTTTAGGCCATAACATTTGTGGGATTTTGTTATGGTGGTCCTAGCAAACTAAGATTTTCTTTTGTATGTTTACATGAAGTTGCATACTGAAAACTAGACTTTTTTTTTTAAAGGGCTTTTTAGGATTCTTTGTAAAACATTGGTAAATGGGTTTCAAGTAAATTTAAAGAGTGTTCTTACAATTTATTTTTTATAATACAATTTATGTAGTCATATTTATTAAATTTACGTAATGCTAGTTTCAGAAAGGATAAAATTCAGACAAATAGAATTTAATGAGTTCATATAGAGGTCATTTTTGTGATCATACACCAAGGAGGGTTAATTATGAAAAGAGAAAAATTTGTGCAAACGTCAGTTATGCTTTTTGAAATAACCTGTTTAATGTAAAACAAAAGTCAACGATATGGAATGTGAGAGTTTTCACAACAATTACTTAAAACATGCTGTTTGACCAGTACTTTAATAAGAGAGAATTATGTTAAGTTATGTTATATAATTAAATATGTTAAATAAAAATTTAATATAACATTTTAGAGGTTAAAAAAATTTTGTAGTGATATCTTAATGAAATAGAATTCTAAGGTTTGATTTAACATAGATTATCATATACAAGATTAAATAATATTGAACATATTGTCTTTATTCCTGGAAGAAAATAAAAGAAAAAGTAATTATACAGAGTATCAGTAACTTAAAAAGAGAATTCAAAATAATAATTTAGATTGAACAAACTCATTGAAAAACATTGTCTAGTTACTAGTTTCCCTCTGGCACTCTTACACATGTGCTCTACATTTGTAAATATTCAAGTTCATCTATTCTTTTATATGTGCAATTATATATAAAACTTATCTAATTGAATGCAATTTCATTAGATAATATTTTCCATTTCTGCTATAAAGTAATGACTCCTAGGTAATTCATATTGCATTATTAAAATAAATTAAATTAAAATAACATGTTAAAATACCATAATAGAAATACAAATATTTTTCAATTAAATATGTTTTAAAATTCATCAACAATTGAAAATGATTTTATATTTCAACATGGTATTATAACTTTAATAGTATAAACATTTCCTGACTATAAAGATCATTGCTATGAAATTTTTTTGAGTTCCTGCTGTGGCAGAAGTTCATAAGCTTGACTTAGTGGTCATTTTAAAAGTCTTCCCTTCTTTAGCTGCTGTGATCTCTGAATTTCAGAAGCATATAATGTCACAAAGAACGAATGATTTGCTAATGCTCAGTTCAAAGGGACAGCATTTGAGGAAAACTGACATGGATAGAAAAGAAACACATTAGATGTTCATAAAGTTTTGCCCCTAATGGGATAGTCTCAATTCCATTTCTTAAGTATATAAAATATTAATATTTATATGATGAAAAACCCTATAAAATGAAATTGTTATTGCATTTGAAAAACAAACAATGTATTTTCGATAGTTGGTGGATCTATGACAAATCTGTATGGAAAATTAAGCAAAATCTCTTCCATAAGAAAATATGGGCCAGGCACAGTGGCTCACACTGGTAATCCCAGTACTTTGTGGGAGGTAAAAGAATCCTTTGAGTCCAGGAGTTGAGACCATCCTAAGCAATACAGTGAGATCTCATCTCTACAAAACATTAAAAAATTTGCTAAGCATTGTGGCATGCACCTGCAATCTCAGTTTCCTAGGAGGCTGATGTGGGAGGATGACTTGAGCCTGGAAGGCACTGGCTGCAGTGAGTCAGGATAGCGTCACTGCCCTCCAGCCTGGGTGACAGAGCAAGACTCCAAAAAAAAAAAAAAAAAAAAAAAAAGGCAGGAAGGATGGAAGGAAAGAAGGAAGGAAGGAAGATGAACCCTGACACATGTCAATCTACATTAAAGTTTTGATCCCCATTAAGAGCGATATTATAATGAAAGTTGGATCATTCTGATGATAGTTTCTCAAAGAAAGAAATGTCACAGGATTTCCCTCTGTGAAGGACATCTGTTAATTTTTATTACCCATCATCTATTCTGCTTTAAGATAACAAACTGTGATATTTCAATAGGAAACATCTCTCCCTGAATCATAGCACATTTGGTGTGGGTATATTTAACTTCTTTCACACATTCAACATTCAACATTGAAAATATTATCTTACTAATCAGAGCATTGTATCTCCCTGGTCACAGTGGTTGCTCAAAGATGACATATAATCTAATCTATGATGATATGCCTCCAAATAGGACTTTTATGAAATTATTGTAGTGAGTCTTTCTTCTAAGATTATTCATGATAAAAGTGGTGAAATCTTGATCGTGCTGTGACTCCCATGTATGGCTTGAGATAATGAAAATAAAAATGAAACAATTGCCAGAGATGAAACTAGATCCTGTGGATGAACATCGTTACTGCCTTTGGATCCATCTGGAAAATTTCACCTATTCTATTGTCATAGATATCCAATATCACATTTACTAATACGCACTGGTATCCTAATGTCTTTATGAATAGCCAGGTTTGAAAGTAGGTGGCTGGAAGGGATGAGAGACCTGGGAAATTGACCTTAGATTCCTCCATGCAGGAAGCACTAGGAATGTGCTACAGCCCTTTTCTATTTGTTTTCCCTATTTTGATTATTCTGTGCTTTGGAAGAATCCAGGACCTGTTTTTGAGGTTTCCTATAACTCCAGCCAGCCCACTTTCAGGCATGGCCGAAAACCATTCCTGAAAGTATTAGGAACACTACTACACATAATTAAAGGCAAATAGGGTCTCCATAATAGTTGACAGAGGTCGGTAGGGTCTAATGACACCCATAAAATAGTAAGGAGAGCTTTTCAAACTGGGTCTTCAAGCCATCAGGTAGCATTAATTGGAGTTTTCTTTTTGTTGACTTTCAAGGGCAGGGTTTCCTGGCCTTTATCTCAGAGATGCTAATGATACATATCGTTTACTATATGAGTATGTTTACTACATTGTCAACCAAATCATCTTGGAGAGAATCATGAAATAATGTAACCAGATTTTCTTACAAGAAAACTCCAGTAAAAGTAGAAATCTAATTAAGCATAATTTATGTTTGTTAATAATGTTTCACTAATTTAGAAATGCATTTCATTCTTTTTTCCTATATTGTCTTTAGTGCGTATTAGTTAATTGGGCTCTGAGAAATCTACAGTAAAAGGCAAAATTGTATAAATATGTTCAAAGGTTAGACAACTTAATGTATTTGACCAGGAAACATTTTTTTTCTACAAACACTATCTTTAAGAAGGGTATTCCTTTATCTAAAAATTGGGAATTAACTCACCTGAAGATCCAACAAATACCATTATAACTGTCTTTTCACATGTGCATTTCCTGACCTGTTTTGCCCAACTGAAATGTACCAGACCATTAACTTGTTTTTACCAATTTCACAACATGTATTTCTCCACCCCTCACTTTTAGGATTACAGAAAAAAATGTCACCTTAAATTTCCATTGTGCCATATGAAGTAAGATAATATTTTTACTGCTATATTTGATCCCTAAAACAAACTAATTTCATGCACCCCAGGAGATAGGTACAAAAATTTATCAGACTATAAGAAGAAAAACATTAGAATTTATATTTTTATGTATTTTTATCTTTATTTTGCTTAAATTGTCTAATGTTCTTAATAGATTAGCACAGTAGTACATGGACATAAAATACATACACTTACGGTGAGGTTGTGTACACAGCTTTTTTACCAACAGGATAGATGGCGTACAGTTTGGATAATATTTCCATAAAAAAGCAAAATCATTTTCCTTTAATCAGAATAATATTTCCCTTTTCATTTCATTACACAATTATTCAATAAATATTTAAAACCCACTATGTACCAATAATACACTATATGATTGTATGTATACCATATATGATAAAACAGAACAAAACGAAACTAAAACATCACAAATCTCTAGCTTCAGCAGCATTCTGAGAGGTTCCACAGATGTGTTTCTTGCTTTAACAGTATTTTGACAGAGCATACCTGGGGACTCCCTCTCTTCCAGCCTTTGACCAACCTCCAATCTCCTCTCCACTTGCAAACTCCAAGACTATCTTCTCAGCCATCTCCTGCTTCTGAGACCAGCCAACACTGCTTTGCGGCCTTCTTGATGACCAACCATGAGACAATGAGCTCCCAGATTCATGAGAATTATTCAACCCAGGGAGTGTAAATTAGTTCAGCTGCTATGGAAAGCATATTGGCGATTTCTCAAAGAACTTAAAACAGAACTACGATTTAACCCGGAAATCCCATTACTGGATTTGTACCCAAAGGAAAATAGATATGTACCCAAAGGAAAAAGACACATGTCCTTGTATGTACATCTCTGTGCTATTCACAATATCAAAGACATAGAATCAACCCAGGGCCCCATCAACGATAGATTGGGTATAGAAAATGTGATATGTATATATCATGAGATACTACACAGCCATAAAAAGAATCAAGTCATGTCCTTTGCAGCAACATGGATGCAGCTGGAGGCCATTATCCTAAGCAAATTAATGAAGGAACAGAAAACCAAATATAGCATGTTTTCACTTATAAGTGGGAGCTAAACATTGAGCACACATGCACATAATCATGGGAACAACAGAGACTGCACACTACTAGGGGGCATAGAGAGGGCAGAGGGTGTGAGTTGAAAAACCACCTATTGGATACTATGCTCAGTACTTGGGTGCAACATACTCGTGAAAGGAACGTGCACATGTAATCCTTGTCTAAAACATAAATTGAAATAAAAGAAAATATTCCACCAAGGTGGAAGCAGCCATCAACCACCTGATCAATTTGCATCTGCAGCCCTCCAGCACGTACCTTTCTCAGAACTTCTTTTCAACCATAACAATGTGCCTCTGGAAGGCATGGGCCACTTTATCTGTGAATTGACCAAGGAGAGGTGTGAGGGTTCAGAACAACTCTTGAAGGTGCAAAACCAGCTTGGGGGCCATGCTCTCTTTCAGGATGTTCAGAAGCAATCTCAAAATGAGTGGGGTAAAACCATGCATGTCTTGGAAGGTGCCATAGCCCTGGAGAAGGACATGAACCAGGACCTTTTGGATCTTCATGCACTGGGTTTGGCCACACAGATTTTCATCTCTGTGACTCCCTGGAGAGGCACTTTCTAGCTGAGGAAGTGAAACTCATCAAGAAGATGAGTGGCCAACCTCCACAGGCTAGTCAGGCCCCAGGCCTGGCTGGGAAGGCATCTCTTGCAAAGGCTCACCTTTAGCATGACTAGGAGCCTACTGAACCTAGGTAGGTCCTAGGTCTCAAGGTCCTCTCTTAGAGTATCAGGGCTTCTGCTTAAGACTGCCTCCAGCAACTAGGCACCTTTTTAAGCACCTTGGAGCCCTTTCCCAAGCTTTGAAGCAAATGGAAATAAAGCATTTAGCAGAAAAAAAAAAAAAAAGACTATAGCTTTATGGGGCTTATAGGTCTGGGATTTTACTTGGCAAACTCCTAAAATGAGTTGAGATTGGAAATATCTGCCTACTTGCCTTTCTTCCTCACTGAAATATTAGCTTCTACAGGGCAGGGATTATAAATGTCTTATGATTATTTCATGCTCAGTGCTTAGTGTAGTATTTGCCATTTGATAAATATTTAATAAATGTTTTTTGACTTATATTGAATAAAACCTTTTGCCTCATTGCCATTGAAAATCTTGATTTTCTAGTCAGTTATCGTTAAATGTTTAGATGATTTTTGGGAGGGTGTTTCCCCCTGTGACTTATTAGGCTTGGTGATATTCCTTTATGAACATTCCCTCAGCTATTAATAATTTCTCCAATTTCATCTGATCCTAGTAGATGCTTTTTTTTCTTGCCAAAGACTATTTTTTCATTTTACTACTTATGGGAATGCACACTTTTACATCGACTATAATTGCTATCTGGACCCTATTTGCTTCTCATCTTGTTAACCTGTTTAGAGACTTTAAAATGTGACTATGTTTACATTTTACTTCACAAACAATAGGCTTCATTTTGGTTATCCTCTCTGCAAAATTACTTTGGATGATTGGAATTCTATCACATTGTTCTCCCCTAATTACTTATAGTGAATTTTGTACCTATAATTGCGTAGTTACTTAATTTAACAGACAAATGTTAGTGAACTGTTCTGGACTCCTTAAGAATAATTTGTTCCTAATTAAAAAGAATGGATCTTGAGCAAAAAAAGGAAAGAGAGAAAACTGCCTTTTATTTAGCCCTCTACTATATTTCAGATTGTGTGTATTTTTTTCTCAATTTAACCTAGTCTAAAAATAATACTTGTAATTCCTGCGTCTTCAATGAAGAAGCTTTTCTCAGATCTCTTATTTCTGTAATGACTCTGAAGTCCCCATTTATAACTCTATCCCGCAGCATCATACCAATCAAATTTACAGTTAAGAGACTGAATTTCACACAAGTGGCCATGACTTTTAGTCGATTGATTTCACTTTAACACATCCTCTCTTTATTCATCTTGAATTGCACCACACAACAGACTTCCGCTCATCTCCTTAATTGAAAAGTTGGGTCGGAATGATTGCTTAATTTCTGTGTCCTGTGAGAACAAAGTGCTCACTGGTGATTGCAGGACTGTGGTTTCATTAAATTTATGCCTTATGAATTTAACAACATTTGGCTATTTTTGTAATCTCACTAGCAATGTCAGGGACTGATCGGCCTGGCTGCCTAATGTCAGGAGCCTGAATCAAAATTTGGGCATTCTGAATTGCCATTGACATCAATTCTGCCTTCTTTCCTTAGGAGTTATACATCAGTAGTCACAGCCCTTACTCTGTGTAAATAGAAAAAGGTATCAGGCAGTGCTGTTACTGAATACATCTGACTAGAATCATAAGTAATACAGGACTTGCTGCAATGATTTCATTTTTACAAAGTATATATTTAGTTTCTTTCTCTCCTGATTTATTCATACAAGTATATCACACGCAAATAACTAATTTATGTGTTTTTAGCAGAGGGAAGGAAAAATTAACCAATAATAAAATATACACAATTGGACAAGCTATGTTAGAACAGAGATTGTAAATATAAAAATCAGATATTCTTACATTGCTATACAAATAAATACAAATATTTAAACTAAGCTGTGAAGGAGAAATAATATATTACATGCTATTTTCATAGTTATTTTTATTAAAAAATGAGAGTTATTTGATGATGTGTATGTAATGTAGAAATTATACATTAATTGCAAATTAAAATTTAGTGCAAAATGAGGTATCTGGATTAAGAGGTATGGCTGTTACCATTGAACCATATGGCAATTAGGCTTTGGAAAATTAAGTAATTCAACTAATAAACCTATTTCTAAATTAAGTGTTATTTATTGGGGAAAATATAAAACACCAAAATAATACATATCAATAGTATTAAGATTTTTATTACCATAGCATTTGCTACACATGAAAATGAAATTATTTCAAACTTTTGTTTGTCTTACACAGCACGGCCTCCATGGAGACTCATTTAATTCCCAAAGGAAAAGCAATTATTAATCCTTTCTTCAATCCAATGCATTATAACCTGAGTGACTGAATACCGATTACATGTTGTCTTTCTTTGTTCAAGCGTCTCCTTTCCTACCCTGGAACAAGAGCTTTCTAAGGGCAAGAACTGGGTTCCATCCAGCAAGAAAATCCCAGGATGTGGCATTGTAAACATGGAAAAACACCATGGTTTCTACAGTGAGATAAAGGAAGACACATCAACATACATTACAACTGCAGAGCATTCTTGGTAACATGGAATTGAAGAAGCTTTGTAACTCTCTGATAACATGTGAACTTCCATACTAACATCTGTAGCTAATAGCTTCAAGGTCTTATAATTTTCTCATATTTGTTTAATCCCTTTTTTCTACCTCCCATGTCCTTTTGTCACAGTTCTGTCAGTCAGAACACAAGGGAGACCACAACTTTCTTACTTGATTCGTTATTCCAGATGCTGGAATGCAGCTTGAGCCAATAAAACATTATGACAGACATCCCTGTTCGAAACCAGCCTATTTGACACACTTAAATATACACTTTCCTCCATCAAGTACTGTTTTGCTCATTTTGCACTGTTCGAAAATCTCAGTACCTTTCTAGAGGCAAAAGGGAAAAAGATTTTGCAAAAACAAAGCATCTACATAAAGTCATGGATAAAAGATTGTGTTCTCCATGTTCCCAGTTGCTTACAGAGAGGTGTCTTGTTCCCACAATAGATCGTGGTGTGTATTACAGTGGGGAGTTTTTGACTTTTCCTTCATATAAATCCTTTCTGCAATGTCGGCATACAAGCCATGTATTTTCCTAACCTGCATGAATTTATTTCACTGACTTTATAATAAACTATGTCTGATTCATTTTCACACACTGAGAGCTTAATGCCATTCAGGTCAATTGGTGCAGCAATATTTTCTCTCTTTTTTTAACCTTCCATTTTTTGGGGGAGATATTTCAAAAGGGAATAAAAATAGATAAGTCTTGCACGCAATATGTTAGCTCTTCAAAAACATTAATGGAGTGGTTTTGATGGTGTATTGTATTGTAGCTGAAATATTTTTCACTTCAGATAATCCAGATTTAATTCTAAGGCATTATTATTTGGCTGACCAACTTGTATCATTTTTTTCATCTTGTCTTCATACTTCCTGGACACTTGTTATATAAAATAACTTACAGGTTTTTACTTTAAGTGAAATGAGAAGCTATTGCAAAATTTAGAGTAGGGGAGTGGCATGATCTCTTTTAAAAACATCACTTTAGCTGCTAATTAGAAATGGATTTGGGGAAGCGGAAGTACACATAGAAAATAAAACCTGCATGGAGATTACTCAGGTAGATCAGGTGAACTAGGGTTGAGGGATCGGGAGGAAAGAGAAGCAGATCAACTAAAGAGATATTTTGAGTATAGAAGCAAGCCGTTTTAGATAGACAAATATTCTTTGAGGACAGAATGTTCTTTCATCTCTTTTTCCGGCTAAATAACACTTTTTTCCCCCAAGTCTACATCTCCAGGAAGCCTTCCTTGTCCTGCCCTTGCTGTATAATGGTCTTCTGAATGATTCCTTAGTACTGTCTTTATCTAACAAGAGCAAATCTCTAAGCATTACTTTCTTCGTCATTCTCATCAAACATTGAAGTGTTTAGAATCAAGGCCAACATCTTTCCCTTCTATAACTCTTACACCGAACAAAAATTTTGACCCACACTATATTTATTACGAAGAATGTATTTGATTGCATAAAATAGAACGATTTAATTTTGATGGCTTAAATACATACGTTTATATAAAGAGATATAGACATAAGTGTGCATATAAGTTCATTTAGTTGTCCAAAAATGTTAGGATTGGCATATCAGTGATTATTGTTCCTTTCCTTCACTATTGCAAGATAGCGTCTCATCACCAAGTATCATATGTGTGTGTGTGTATATATATGTATATATGTGTGTATATATAATATGCATATATGTATGTATATATGTATATATGTGTATATGTGTGTGTGTGTATATATATACATATATATATATATACACACACACACACACACACATATATATCCATCCACAGCAATAAGAACCTGGAAAAAACTACATCTTGTTCTTATATCTGGAAAAGGAAAACACCTTCAGGAAGCTTTCAACAGACTGACATTTATGTTGGATTGGCCACAATTGTATGGTCATGAGCTACTTAATGACTGGGGAAATATTCGGAAAGATATATTATTAGGCGATTTCAACATTGTGGGAACATTATAGAGTACTTCCACAAACTTAAATGGTATAGCCTAGTACGCAGCTACGCTATGTGGTATAGCCTATTGCTCCTAGGCTATAAACCTGTACAGCATGTTACGGTATTGAATATTATAGGCAGAGTGGTAAATATTTTTGTGTCTAAATATAGAAAAGGTACAGTAAAAATGTGGTGTAAAAGATTACAAAGAGTATGCTTGCATAGAACACTTATCATTAGTGGAGCTTGCAGGACTAGAAGTTGCTTTGGGTGAGTCAATGAGTGGTGAGTGAATATGAATCATTAGGAAATTATTGTATACCACTGTAGATTTTATAAACACTGTACACTTAGGCTACACCAAATTTATAAAAATAATTTTTCTTTCTTCAATAATTAACAATGTAAATTTTTTACTTTATAAATTTTATTTTTTTTAACTTTTTGACTCTTGTAGTACCTCTCAGCATAAAATACAAACATATTGGACAGTTACACAATTTTTTTCTTCATATTATTATTCTATAAGCTTTGTTCTGTTTTTTTTTTATTTTTAAAACTTTTTTTGTTAAAAACCAAGACATAAACACACACATTAGCCTAGGCCTACACAGGCTTAGGATCATCAATATCACTATCTTCCATCTTTACATCTTGTCACTGGAAAGTCTTAAAGGGCAATAATACACATGGAACTTCATCTCCTATGATAACAATATCTTCTTCTGGAATACCTCTTGAAGGCACCTGAGGCTGTTTTACAGATAACTTTTTTAATAAATAGAAGGATTACACTGTAAAGTAACAATGAAAAGTAAAGTATAGTAAATATTTAAAGCAATAACAGTCATTTATTATCATTGTAAGTATCATAAACTGTACATAATTGTGTGTACTATACTGTATTCGACTGTCAGTGCAGTGGGTTTTTTACACCAGTCTCACCACAAACATGTGAATAATGTGTTATATTATGAAGTTATAAAGTTTGACAGCGATGGCTTCACTAAGGGATACAAATTTTTCATCTCCATTTTAATCTTATGGGACCAACATCTTATATGCGATCCTTTGTTGAGTGAAATGTCATTGTGTAGTAATGACTGTATAACATTTCTATCTTCTTCATATTCTCTTATGGAGAGGATAAGAGAATAAAGCATTCAAAAATTTTAATAGCTAAGTGAGACTATCACAATTGCTTCATCATATACTCAAAAACATATTTTAATAAATTATATATATATACAAATCACTGCTCAAAGAAATCTGAGATGACACAAACAAAAAATACCATGCTCATGGATAAGAAGAATCAATATTGTGAAAATGGCTATATTGTCCAAAGCAATTTATAGATTCAATGCTATTCCCATTAAACTATCATTGACATTATTCACAGAATTAAAAACAAACTACTTTAACATTCATATGGAACCAAAAATGAGCCTGAATAGCCAAGGCAATCCTAAGCAAAAAGAACAAAGCTGGAGGCATCACACTACCCAGCTTCAAACTATACCATCAGGCTACAGTAACCAACACAGCATGGTACTGGTACAAAAACAGACATATAGACCAATGGAACAGAAAAGAGAACCAGAAACAGGGCCACACACCTACAACCATCTAATCTTCAACAAACCCGACAAAAACAAGCTATGGGGAAAGGATTCCCTATTTAATAAATTGTGCTGGGAGAACTGTCTAGACATATGCAGAAAACTGAAACTGGAACCCCTTCCTTATACCATATACAAAAATCAACTCAAGATGGATTAAATACTTAAATGTAAAACCCCAAACTATAAAAACCCTAGAAGAAAACCTAGGCAATACCATTCAGGACATAGGCACAGGCAAAGATTCATGACAAAGATGCCAAAAGCAATTGCAACAAAAGCAAAAATTTACAAATTAGATCTAATTAAACTGAAGAGCTTCTGCACAGCAAAGGAAAGCATCAACAAAGTAAACAGACAGCTTACAGAATGGGAAAAATTGTTGTGGTATATCCATCTGACAAAGGTCTAATATCCAGCATCTATAAGGAACCTAAATTTATAAGAGAAAACTAACGACTCCATTTAAAAGTAAGCAAAGGACATGAACGGACAATTCTCAAAAGAAGACATATATGTGGCCATAAAACATGAGAAAAAGCTCAATATCACTGATCATTAGAGAAATGCAAATCAAAACCACAATAAGCTGCCATCTCACACCAGTCAGAACGTTTAGAAAGTCAAAAAACAGGAGATGCTGGTAAGGTTGTGGAGAAAAAGGCACACTTTTACACTGTGGGTGAGAATGAAAATTAGTTCAACCATAGTGAAAGACAGTGTGGCAATTTCTTAAAGAACTAGAGGCAGAAATATCACTTGACCCAGCAATCCCATTACTGGGTATATATCCAAAGAATACAAATTATTCTATTATAAAGACACATGTATGCGTATGGTCACTGCAGCACTATTCACAATAGCAAAGACATGGCATCAACCTAAATGCCCACCAAAGATACACTGGATAAAGAAAATGTGGTACATATACATCATGGAATACTATGCAACCATATAAAAGGAACAAAATATTGTCCTTTGCAGGAACATGGATGTAGGTGGAAGCCATTATCCTTAGCAAACTAACCCAGAAACAGAAAACAAAATACAGCATGTTCTCACTTATAAGTGGGAGCTAAATATTGAGAACACATGGACACACGGTGGGAGCAATACACACTGGGGCCTGTCAGAGGGCAGAGTGTGGGAAGAGGGAGAGGATCAAGGACAGATTGCGGATGCTGGGATTAATACCTTGGTGATGAGATAATCTGTGCAGCAAACGTTTACCTATGTAACAAACCTGCACATCCTCCACATGTACCCCTGTACTTAAAATAAATGTTGGAAATTGAAACAAAAATAGTAATTTTGCTAAATCCATTTTTCAGGTTTTGATGAAACATGCTTATGATAGCGAATAAAAAAATCATTCATTGCCTTACAAATATCACAAAGATATTCTTCTATATTATCGATGGTAGCAGTGGCCCATCTGGAGCAGCCCCTGTGAAGACCTTGGCTGCAGCGGTGGGGGTGCGGCTGGGGCTGTGCACTCCATAAAGCAGATGGGAGCTGGGAACAGGCAGGAGCCCCGCCCCTTTCTGAGTTGGTGCGGCAGGAGCCCTGCATTCCCAGATGCAGCTGTAGCTGCCCAGCCGTGGCTCTGGACCCTGGCATCCCTGCACTCTCAGAGGCCTAGGAAACTGCCCCTGCCCCTGCTAGCTCAGAAGTACCTGCTTCCGCTTTCTGGCCTCTCCCATTCTCGGCACCCACTCCGATTTCAGAGCAAAGCTGAAGCCAAGCCTGGGCGCTGTCACAACTCGGTTGGGTGTGCACACTCTCAGGGTGAAGCTGACGTGCCAGCCCCCAGCAACCTCAGGCTGCTCTGAAACTTTGGGCACAGACGAGGTCAGGAAGGGAGTGTAGGGTGGGCGGGCTGAGGGCAGCTTGACACAGGCCTGCACGTGCCCATCAGCATGAACAGCCTGGGGCCACGGATGACATGTTTTTGGCAGCAGGAGGCAGATGGGCTCCTGGGCAGAAAAGGGCGGGTCCTCAGGGAAATCCCACCTTCAAGTCCGAGAAGGCCTGAAGCCTGGGGACCAGGCTGCCAGTTCCCTGGGGAGTCCGCATCCCAGAGTGAGAACCTATGGTGCTTTTTCCAGGCCGATCTTTGTCTGCCCATGGACCAGTCAGGATGGCACTTTCTCTCTTCTGAGCTCTTATAAACCCCAGACTAAGCCAGACTCAGACAGACGTTGGGACTACCAGCTGCGGGCAGGAGCTACCCACTTTGGGTCTTTTCTACTTTTCAGGACAACTCGCCTGCAGAAAGGAGCTACCCACGACAGGTCTCCACTCCACTGATAGCTGGACACTCACTGGGACAACCTGCCTGCAGAAGGAGCTACGCACCACGAGTCTCCTCTCCACTGAGAGCTGGACACTCACTGGGGCAACCTGCCTGGGGAAAGGAGCCCCAGGCTCTTTTCCACTTTTCATCATGGGTCTCTTCTCCACTAAGAACTGGACACTTGTTGGGATGAACTGCCTGCAGAAAGGAGCTACCAACTTCGTGTCTCCTGAGAGCCATTCTGTCACTCAATGAAACTCCTCTCTGCTTTGCTCACCATCCAGTTGTCCTCATACCTTATTCCCCCGCGACGTGGGACAAGAACTTGGGACCTGCCAAATGGCGGGACTGAAAGAGCTGCAACACAAACAGGGCTGAAACACGCCCCTCGTTCATCAAGTTGTAGGCAAGGAGAAGGAAAGAAGAGCTAGAGCCCTTCGGGGATCC
This sequence comes from Homo sapiens, assembly GCF_000001405.40. Classification (NCBI taxonomy): domain Eukaryota; kingdom Metazoa; phylum Chordata; class Mammalia; order Primates; family Hominidae; genus Homo; species Homo sapiens. The sequence goes on from NC_000009.12 coordinate 30,944,850, forward strand.
CAGACTTAGGGGATCCCCGAGCCAGGGCTGTGACACTCTCTTTGGGGCTCTGTGGTTCCTGGTGTCTCCAAGCTTCCACGTGACACTGCGGTCCCTAGTGTCTGCAGTAGAAGCTGCTTGTGGTATGCCTGTTCCAGCCATAGCCTCTCATGGAGCCGGAGCCTGTATGGGCACCTAGAGCTACCCACCCTGCCACAGGCTGGCAGTGTGCAGTGGCCGGACCCAGTGCTTGCTCACACACCCCTGGCTGCTCCGCCTCTAGCCCACCCTTGACAGCCATGGAATCCAGTCTGGTAGGGGGCTGAAGCAAAATTCCGGCAAAGGCACCACCAGCTGCAAAGTTTTCCGGATGGAAAAGTGACACCCTGTGACATCTTCTAGAAGCTTTTCAGATGTAGAATTTGTATTTAGGCCTATGTGCTATATTAACTGAATTTTTGCTTGTCATGTAGAGTATGGATCATATATATATATATGTATACAGATATATAATTTGTGAAAAAGTTTATATATTGTTGATATTAGATTAATACTGACTTTCTAAAAAATGGGAAGTATTTCTTTTCAATATTCTGGAATAGTTTTCTAGAACTGATATGAATTCTTCTTTAAAATGTCATAGAAGTCATCAGTTACCTACCTGGGCCTGTTTTTTCAACCATAATCTAATTTATTTTATAAGTATTATACAAGTATATATTTATAAGTATTATACACTTGTATACTTATAATTTATACAAATATAATACTTATATTCATATTTATAAGTATATTTTATATGCTTATATATTATATATACTTATATTAAATATAATACTTATATAAGTAAATATAAATAACTTATAAATTTAATGAGTATATATGCTTATTATATATTATACATATATACATAATTAGCTATTCTGTTTCCTCTTGAATAGGCTTTGCATTTGTCATTTTTTAAAAAATTGTCCATTTTATATAATTATGAAATGTATTGACATGAATTTGTTGATAATATTCCATTTTTATCCATTTGATATCAGTAGGATCTCCACTAAAGTTACCTCTTTCATTCCTCATATTAGAATTGTGTTTCCTCTATCTTAATTTTCCTACTCTGGCTATATAGAATTATCAATTTTTTTTTTCTTGAAAGATAAGACTTATTGTTTCTATGATTAACACTATATTTTTCTGTTTTTTATTTTATTGATTTTATATGAACCTTTATTATCTACTTTCTGTTGCTTACATAAAGTTTCATTGACTCTTTTTTAAAAACAAACAACTCAAATGTTAAATTGGAAGGTCACAAATTTGAGGCCATTCTCTTTTATAATAAAAACATTCAATGCTATACATCTCCTTCAAAGTAATGCTTTACCAGTATTCCACAAATTTAGAGAGGTTGCATTTTTATTTTTCTTCAGTTATATATACTTTCTAATAACAATTTTGATTGTCTTTTGGGGTCTAAAAGAATACTATTTAGTTTCTAAATATTTGCAGATTTTTCCAATTCATTCATTTATAACTATTTCCTTGTTCTAAATTCATTTATAACTATTCCCCTGTTCTAAAGAACATTTTTTCTATAATTTAATTTCACACAAATTTATTCACATTTGCCTTATGGCCCAGAAAAATTTTCATTACATTTTCTATTATACACTTGAAAACTATCTGTATTCTGTCATTAGGTAGCGTTTTATAAATATCAATGAGAAAAGACTCATTAAATATCGAAAGTTTAGTATTATTCTGTCCTTATTATGAATTAACACTTCCATTACTATTCATCACTGTCTTTATACCTGGAAATATTTTTTGCTATAAAATCTCTTTTTCTGATATTAATATTATCACTTAAAACTTATTTAATTAATATTAGCATAGTACATTTCTTCATCCTTTTACTTTTAACCTATTTGTGTTTTAATATTTCCAGTTGTTTTGTTATTGGGAGAACATAATTTGGTTTTATTTGGTAATCAATTGGATAAGCTCTGCCTTTTTATTGGTATCTTTGAATTGTGTTCTTTTAGTGTGAATACTGATATGAATATGTTCTCATATAATATTGCTGTTCATTTTCTAATTGTTCCATTTGTTTGTTCCTCTCTCCCTTTTTCTCCTTCTTTCAGATTTTTTTATGGTTTACTTGTATATTTTCTGTTGTCTTAATAGTTATTAATCTTTGTTTTTTTTGTTTCTTTAGGACTGGTATCAAGTATAAATTCAAAAGATATCACATCAAATTTTGTATGGTACAAGAATATTATGATGGTATACTTCCATTTCTCCCATGCTAGTCTTTATACTATAGTTGTCCTGCAATTTTCTTCTATATATAGAAGTAATGCATTCGTTCTAGTTTTGCATTAAAAGAATGACTTGTCTTTTCAAGAGATTTAAATAATGAGAAAAATATCTTCAGTGTTTGCCCACATAGTTCTTATATTGAGAAATTTTCATTTCTTGGTATAAACCAAGATTTCTAATTATGATTTTTCTTTTGGCTGAACTATTTCCTTGAATACTTGTAATCTTGGTCTGCTGGTGATGAAATTTTTCCAGTTGCATGTATCTGAACGTCATTGTTTTACCTTCATTTTTTGAAAGATCTATTTATTGGGTATAGAATTCTAGGTTGGCAGATATAGTAAGTTCAATAGTGACTCCCGAAATATATTTCCACCCACAACTTCAGAATGTGAATTTATTTGGAATAAGAATCTTTGCAGAGGTAGTTGAGGTAAGGAACTGAAGTAGAGATCATCCTGGGTTAGGATGGAAATTAAATCCAATGGCCAGTGTCTTGTAAGCAGCAGAAAAATAGAAGAAACAGAGAAGAAAGTCATGTGAAGGCAGAAGGCCATGTGAAGACAGAGATTGACTTATGAAAATCCAAGGCGAGGCATGTCAAGTGTCACTGGAAGCTACCTAAATTGGAGAGATATAAAATAATTTTGTTTCAGAGTTTCAGAAGGAGCCAGTACTGATAATTCTTTGAGTTTGGACTTCTGAATCCCAGAATACTGAGAGAAAAATTTGTGTTATTTTCAGTTGCCATGTTTGTAGTAGTTTCTTACAGCAGCTTTAGAAAACTAAAATGGCAAGTTCTTTTCATTTTTTTTTCCTGGCGGGGATATGTTTTTCTAGTATTTTAAGTATATTTCTATACTGTCTTCTGTCTTACATTGTTTTAGGCAAGAAATCTACTGTCATGCTTAATGTTGGTGCCCTATTTGTAATATACTTTTTTCCTTGGGCTGATTTAATATTTGGATTTTTATCATGTTTTAAGCAATCTGATTATGATATATCTTGCTGTAATTTTCTTTTATCTTCCTTGTGACTGAGTTTGTCAGTTTTCTTGGTTCTATAGGTTCAGAATTCTCATCAAATTTAGAAAAATTTTGGCCATTATTTCTTTAATGTATTTTTTCTATCCCTCCTCCCAGGTCCTCTTCTTCCTGGAATCCAGGGAATCCAATTACCTGTATATTTGGCCACTTAAATTTGTCCCACAATTTACTGACATTCTGGTTATTGTTTTAATTTGTATGATTTTTGTTTTTTTCCATGTTTTATTTTGCATATTTTCTATTTTGTATCTTTATGGTTACCAATTATTTTCCCTACAGTGTCTAATATGTGTTTAATTGCATTTAGAGTATTTTTCATCTCAGACATTACATTTTCATTTCTAAAAATAGTTTTGTCTGTTTTTTTAAATATCTATATCTCCATTTAACATGCTTATTTTTTTTCTGTGTTTTCTGGGTGTTTACTGCTTAGTCACAATAATTCTTATTGTCCTGTCTACAAATTTTTTCAACTATGAGTTTTCTGGATTAGTTCTGATGCATTTATTTTCCTCTTCCTTATGAAACATAGTTATCCACTTCTTTAGATGCCTATTTTGATTGGATATTAAACACTGTGATATTTATTTTGTTCATTGCTGCCTAATTTTTATTATAATAAATATTTATGTGTTCTTCTCTAAAACATTGTTACGTTACTTTGAGACAGTATGATTCTTCGAAGTTTTGTTCTGTTATGCAAGACCAAGGAAGTGTCTAGTGTAGACCTAATTTCTGCCCACTCTTAAGGCACTACATTTGTAAATACTCTACCTAATGGCCCTGACAGGAAGATAAGCCATTCTCAGCCAAGTGTAATTTCTAGGATGACTCCCTATTCTCCTTTTTGTTGTTTCTTTGCCTAGTCTTGATTAGTTTCTTCAAACATACATTCATGCCATATTCAACTGAAAACTTTTTGGTGAGGGCAGTGAGGATAAAGGGGGCCAGTAGGCAATGCTGTGCAAATCTCCAAAGCTCTGCCTTTATGCAGCTCTCTCCTTTTTTCTACTCTATTCTCTGAACTCTAGCTGCGTTAGCCTCTGGAACTCACAGTTTTGTCTCATCAACTCAGAGAGACAGCTTTCTCTTTCAATGGTTTGGAACTCTATCCAGGCAGTAAGCTTGAACACTTAAATTCTCACTTTGTCTCCCATTTTTGTGGATCACTGTCCTTCACTGCCTAAATTCTAATGCCTTAAAGCCTTTTTAAAATTTTTTCACATATGTTGTCTGGTCATTTAGTTATTTCACTTGGAAAGATAAGCCAGTCCCTATTACTTTACCTTGTTCAGAAGTAGAAGTAGCACCTGTTTTTATTTGAAGTCAAATTTCATTGAATTTTAAATAATTATGATACCTTCTCTTAGTAATATGTCCATGTATTGTCTACCTCAATAATAATATATTAACACACATGCATTAAATTTACTCTAGAATTCTTCATTTTTCATTCTATTACCTACACAAAATTTGACAATTTAAAAATGGCTTTTCTATGCTCTAGCAGACACTATGCCTTACAAAATAAACATCAATCTATGCCTTACAAAATGAATATCAATCTAGTTGTGGTCTAATGAAAAGTGTTATGTGAAACTGCTTCCTGTAGGTTTTCTCAAAACTTCTTCCCTTTCTTCTTCTTACTATCTAGAAAGCAAAATATATGGGTGGAATTTATTCAGACATGCTAGTTTTCTTCTGTTCAAGGTGGTAGCTACTTACCACTTGTGGCCATTGAGTACTTGAAATGTGGAAAGTCCAAATTGAAATATATTCCATATCTCAAAGACTTAAGGGGGAAATAATAAAATAATCTCATTATTTTGTAAATAATTACATGTTGAAATCATAAATGTTTGCATAAAGTGTTAAATAAACTTTATTAATTTAATCAATTTTGTATTTCAAATATTACTTTTTAAATGTGGCTTCTAGAAAATTTAAAATTATGTATGTTCATATTATATTTCTATTAGATAACACTGTCTTAGATCATTAGTTAGAACTTCTTTTTTCTTTTTTTTGAAAAGGTCCAGATAGCAAATATGCTTGGCCTTTCTAGGCCTACATTCTGCCACAACTATGCAAAGTAGCCATACACAACACATAGATGAATGCTGTGTCAGTGCTCCAGACCAACTTCATATACAAAATTTTTGGACCCTGGATTTGGTCTGTAAGCCTTGGTTTGCTGACACCTTTTATGAAATAACCCTGAGAATTGAAGCCAAGCATTATATATAAGCAAGAAACAGAAAGAAAGAAACTTTAGCTTCTGATCACATTGAAGGCTACCACAGCAGCCTCTGATTGACATTGTTTTAGATATAACAGAAATAAGCTTCTATCTCATTTAAGCCTCTGTCATTTATTTTTTAATATATGTAGCTAAATCTTATTCCAACTTTGTTCATATGCCATAATCCATTATATATTTTGCTATCTTAAAATTTGTAATTCCTCTGTTTATCCTCAGGGCAAATTTGGCTACTTCCATGTACAATATCACTTTAACATCTAATTTGCCTATTGAATTAAAGGGTCCTTCTAGAGAAACTACTGTGGCTTATCTTTCTGTATCATCAACCAATATATGGTAGATTTTCAATGCATTCAGCTAGCATTTAATAAGTGTTAGTTGAGTATACAATGATCAATATCATGTGCAAGAAAGCATCTATCACTGAAGTTTCTCCATATAAGAAATCAACTACAGTAAGCAAAGAAAATGGAAATTTTAATTACTAAAAAAAGAACACCCAAGAAGATTATTATTCCATCCCTTCTAAAATAATTTTCTTCATAGTTATGATCCTTAATAAAAATTACTGCTATTAAAATGACATTTTGAAGTAAGTCATGAGTTGTTGCCTTGTTTCATATTCTGGTAAATGTTTACTGACCATATTTTTAACCTCAAATTATAATACAAATTATAAATTGTAACTCATACAAATTATACAGCTTTTCTTTTTTTTCTTCCTTTATAAAATTTTGTTTATTTATTTATTTATTTTTTAATTTTATTATTATTATACTTTAAGTTTTAGGGTACATGTGCACAATGTGCAGGTTAGTTACATATGAATACATGTGCCATGCTGGTGTGCTGCACCCATTAACTCGTCATTTAGCATTAGGTATATCTCCTAATGCTATCCCTCCCGGCTCCCCCCACCCCACAACAGTCCCCAGAGTATGATGTTCCCCTTCCTGTGTCCATGTGTTCTCACTGTTCAATTCCCACCTATGAGTGAGAACATGCGGTGTTTGGTTTTTTATCCTTGCAATAGTGTACTGAGAATGATGATTTCCAATTTCATCCATGTCCCTACAAAGGACATGAACTCATCATTTTTTATGGCTGCATACTATTCCATGGTGTATATGTGCCACATTTTCTTAATCCAGTCTATCATTGTTGGACATTTGGGTTGGTTCCAAGTCTTTGCTATTGTGAATAGTGCCGCAATAAACATACGTGTGCATGTGTCTTTATAGCAGCATGATTTATAGTCCTTTGGGTATATACCCAGTAATGGGATGGCTGGGTCAAATGGTATTTCTAGTTCTAGATCCCTGAGGAATCGCCACACTGACTTCCACAATGGTTGAACTAGTTTACAGTCCCACCAACAGTATAAAAGTGTTCCTATTTCTCCTCTCCAGCACCTGTTGTTTCCTGACATTTTAATGATCGCCATTCTAACTGGTGTGAGATGGTATCTCATTGTGGTTTCGATTTGCATTTCTCTGATGGCCAGTGATGGTGAGCATTTTTTCATGTGTTTTTTGGCTGCATAAATGTCTTCTTTTGAGAAGTGTCTGTTGATGTCCTTCGCCCACGTTTTGATGGGGTTGTTTGTTTTTTTCTTGTAAATTTGTTGGAGTTCATTGTAGATTCTGGATATTAGCCCTTTGTCAGATGAGTAGGTTGCGAAAATTTTCTCCCATTCTGTAGGTTGCCTGTTCACTCTGATGGTAGTTTCTTTTTCTGTGCAGAAGCTCTTTAGTTTAATTAGATCCCATTTGTCAATTTTGGCTTTTGTTGCCATTGCTTTTGGTGTTTTAGACATGAAGTCCTTGCCCATGCCTAAGTCCTGAATGGTAATGCCTAGGTTTTCTTCTAGGGTTTTTATGGTTTTAGGTCTATTTAATTTAGATTATATGCCCCCAAACATTGAGATAATTATATGCCCCCCAGCCCCCAAGATGATGTGGCAGTTCTGGCCAGCTCAATGGTAGTTGAGTGGAGCCAGGTTCATTATTTTCTAAATGGTATAGCAGGAAATCTATAATGTGAGACTATTGTGTAGCCAAGACAACTTTGTTTCATTAAGACTCAGAGTATCACTACAACATGCCACATCATATCCTGTGGGAATAATGTCTACATGAAGAGGGAGACAAATGACTAAACAGCCACAGACTCCACTTATTGTACCACTCTTTCCTAAGCTCATTTTTCAATTCTCATCACATCTTTCATCCTAGATATTTTCATCCCATTTAACAGATAAAGAATCAGGTATACTGGAAAGATGAAGTAACACCTTTAATGTTGTTGAAGTACACAGATTTAAATTCAAGTCTGGCTGAAATGAAAACTGATACCTTGACAACACAGTCTGAGACAGGATATGATAGATATGCCTTTCTGTGAATTATAATCTCTCATAGAAAAAGGAATTACTTCCAGACACAGATGAGAAAATAATGAATTGTCCAGTTGTCACTGCTTGTATGAAAGTGGTGTCAGTGAACTTATATAAGAAAAAATGCCCAATGGATTTTCTACGTTGCTCGAGATCAGAACAAATAGAAATATGACATCTATAATGCTTAGCCCAATTTTTTTCTTGTCATGGAATTTTTGATGATAGTTTCAAATATTTCAAGCGTATATCTGGTTTAAATTTGTTTCATAACTCCAGAAACAAATCTGAAATTACCTCTTTATTAAAACCTCAATTTCATTCAAATGGCTCCATGCCTCTTCTTTCCTGGTTGATTACCAAACCCTCTATATTTTTTTGGACATACCGACTTTCACATATTTAAAGAACTCCAGCTCTTTTCAAATGACCAAAATAAGTGAACTGATAACTCAAAATACATACCATTAAGTCCTGAGGAAAATGTACAGCCATAATCACTAACAGTTGAGATACCAGAAATGCCCTATCACGTAACTGCTCTTAATTCACACACATCTGCACATACATGTGCGTGCACACACGCATACACCCACAGAGATCAGTTCAGGATGGATTCTGGAAACAGCCATAGTCTTTTTTTGTTAATTCACTTCCCTATGACACTTAGGTCCTAATGCTAAATCCAACTCACTCCCAGGACTTCACCATTTCTTATAACATGCTGAGCTTTCTCTTAGAAAATCCCACTGCCATTTCCCTCAATGGACATCAATCAGCATTACACACAGTGCTCACCTGTCTATGGCCATAGCAAAAGTTTTTATTATTTTTATAAATATGTTTTAACCTTAACTGGCTAAGAATTAAATGCCTCCAAATATTAAATGACTTGGCAATTCTGGCCAGCTCAACTGTGGTTAAATGGACCGAGGTTCATCATTTGAAAGGATATAGCAGGAGTAGTTCCGAGCTCTTCTACATAAATTAACGAATTCATATGTATATATATACACATATATATATATGTGCGTGTATGTGTGTGTGTATATATATGTGAATACATACATATGCATGTGTATTTATATATATGTACATATGCAGGGAAAACATTTTCTGGTTGTACAAATTTGCTTTAACAGACTTTCTGATTTAAATAATTTAATTGTGAGAAGGGTGATTCTAACTTAGCACACCAACAAAAATAAAATCCTCATCCCTCTGCTCAGCCGAAGTATTCTGTTCAGAGCATGTATGTAAACATGAATGCACACCACCCACATGACAATATCAAATTTTTATTTAAACTAATTATTTTTTTTTTACTTTTTTGCATAGTAGTAATGCTTTCTGGCATGAAAAAAAAGTACAGGAAGACAAAATTGTTTAAATGTTGTATTTCCTGCAAGTCAGTATGAAACACATATTAAGGCAATAGGTTGGGGGCCAGAACTTGATGAAGTTAACGCTCAGAAAGGAGATCTGAATATCAGCTGGAATAAAGAGCTATAAGTATGTCACAATTGTACCAAACTTTAGTGAAACTTGAGTGGGGTGCAGTATATCTGAGAGGGTTAGTACACTACTTAACAGACTGAGGAAGTTGTTGAATCCCCTGGAAGAGAACTACATCAAAGGCAATATAACCAGATTTATATAAGGCTTTTAAAGGTTCACCAAGTGGGATTTCCTATCAGGAGAGTTTGGCAGTTTTATTCTCTTTTTTCAGTGGATTTTATATTTTGCCTGAGAATGAAAAGCATACTTTTAGTTTTGTACATTAGGTAAAGCAGAGCAACCTCCAAAATCATGCAGCCAGTACAAAGCTTGATGAAGAGACATCTTATGCCAAAAATGACCGTGGCATTTCAAAGCTGGAAGTTTCTTATGATATAATGATTGACCATTCATATGATTTGTTTATAATGTTGGTAACTAGTTTCCCAGTGCTAATACAAGCAGAAGTTCTTAAAAAGACATTTGATTACTTTGAAGCACAGGCACTTGTCTACTCTAAATAGAATAGAAAGATGGGAATGGAAACTAAAAAGTTAAAAGACAAATTAGATAACAACAATAAATATTTACTACTCTGGATGGGAGTGCATGGAAGAACTTTCAAATATTTGGCCTTCTCTAAGCACTACTTGACCTTGCTACTTCAAACCACCACTTTGGTATTTAATGAGTGGCCCTGTGAAACAAAATATTTAACTAGATAGTAAAAATTTTTGGGACTTTGATAGATTTTTCTGGTACCTGAGAGCTTTATCTATCTATCAAACACTGTGCAGGGTAAAGCTAGGCTTTGAAATACATACAACTCATTCACAATATCTAATTACAGATGCATATAAATTAATTTCTAAAATTATTTCCTATTACTAGAAGTAAATAGAATTATATTTATTTATAAAACTTATGTGTTCTATTATGGGGACAATGTGTGTTAAGTGATATTTTTATATAAAATTTTTCTAAGAAAACAGATGGAATATAAGAAGAAATTGAATCATAGTGACTGAGATCTTTCGAACCTTAAGGACAAATACCAAATTACAGGTCCAAAAAACTCAGAGAATGCTACGCAGGATGAATATGAAAAAAATATACCTAGGAATATCATATTAAAACTGTAGAAAACCTAACACAAAGATAAAATATTAAAATAAGGCAGAAGAAGAAATACATTGTTATATAGAGTAACAGATATAAGAATTGAATCAAACTTCTTTTTAGAAGCCAAGCAAGTAAGAAGGGAGTAGAACGTAATATTTAAAGTGTTAAAAATTGTAATATAGTGAACATTTTTATCCAAATATTCATTATCTAAAATTGTGAGGCAAAAACAATTATAACATCAACATATTCACTAACAGTCTGGGCACTCATTATATTAATTCCTGTTATGGACCGAGTTAGGTTCCCCCAAAATTCATAAGCTGAAGCCCTATCTCCCAATGTGACTGTATTTTGCAATAGAGCTTTTAAGAGGTAATGAAGGTTAAATGAGGTCATAGGGTAAGGTCCTAATCTTTTAGTACTGGCATCCCTATCAGAAAAGGAGGAGACACCAGATTTCTCTCTCTCTCTCTCTCTCTCTCTCTCTGCACATATACAGTCCTTGTGAGCATACACTGAGAGGGTGGCCATCTGCAACCCGGAAAGAGAGACCTCACTAGAAACAAATTCAGCTGGAACCTTGATCTTGGACTTCTAGCCTCCAGAACTGTGAGGAAATAAATTTCTGTTGTTTAAACTGTACAGTCTGTGGTGTTATGTGGCATCCTAAGCAGATGAAAATAGGCAACTAGGATTGACTTGAGGCATCATGCTACCTGACTTCAAACTATACTACAAGGCTACAGTAACCAAAACAGCATGGTACTGGTACCAAAACAGAGATATAGACCAATGGAACAGAACAGAGCCCTCAGAAATAACACCGCATATCTACAACTATCGAATCTTTGACAAACCTGATAAAAACAAGCAATGGGGAAAGGATTCCCTATTTAATAAATGGCGCTAGGAAAACTGGCTAGCCATATGTAGAAAGCTGAAAGTGGATCCCTTCCTTACACCTTATACAAAAGTTAATTCAAGATGGATTAAAGACTTAAACGTTAGACCTAAAACCATAAAAACCCTAGAAGAAAACCTAGGCATTACCATTCAGGACTTAGGCATGGGCAAGGACTTCATGTCTAAAACACCAAAAGCAATGGCAACAAAAGCCAAAATTGACAAATGGGATCTAATTAAACTAAAGAGCTTCTGCACAGAAAAAGAAACTACCATCAGAGTGAACAGGCAACCTACAGAATGGGAGAAAATTTTCACAACCTACTCATCTGACAAAGGGCTAATATCCAGAATCTACAATGAACTCCAACAAATTTACAAGAAAAAAACAAACAACCCCATCAAAACGTGGGCGAAGGACATCAACAGACACTTCTCAAAAGAAGACATTTATGCAGCCAAAAAACACATGAAAAAATGCTCACCATCACTGGCTATCAGAGAAATGCAAATCAAAACCACAATCAGATACCATCTCACACCAGTTAGAATGGTGATCATTAAAGTCAGGAAACAACAGGTGCTGGAGAGGATGTGGAGAAATAGGAACACTTTTACACCGTTGGTGGGACTGTAAACTAGTTCAACCATTGTGGAAGTCAGTGTGGCGATTCCTCAGGGATCTAGAACTAGAAATACCATTTGACCCAGCCATCCCATTACTGGGTATATACCCAAAGGACTATAAATCATGCTGCTATAAAGACACATGCACACGTATGTTTATTGCGGCACTATTCACAATAGCAAAGACTTGGAACCAACCCAAATGTCCAACAATGATAGACTGGATTAAGAAAATGTGGCACATATACACCATGGAATCCTATGCAGCCATAAAAAATGATGAGTTCATGTCCTTTGTAGGGACATGGATGAAACTGGAAATCAACATTCTCAGTAAACTATCGCAAGGACAAAAAACCAAACACTGCATATTCTCAGTCATAGGTGGGAATTGAACAATGAGAACACATGGACACAGGAAGGGGAACATCACACTCTGGGGACAGTTGTGGTGTGGGGGGATGGGGGAGGGATAGCTTTAGGAGATATACCTAATGCTAAATGACGAGTTAATGGGTGCAGCACACCAGCATGGCACATGTATACATATGTAACTAACCTGCACATTGTGCACATGTACCCTAAAACTTAAAGTATAATAATAATAAAATTAAATTAAAAAAGAAAATAGGCACCTAAAAATTAGCCATCTCTATTTTATAATAATGTCTATGATATGGTTAGGCTTTGTGTCCCTACCCAAATCTCATCTTTTTATTTATTTATTTGTTTATTATTCATTTATATAATTATACAATATTATATATAATAATATAATTATGTTATAATATATTCATATACATACAATATAATCATATACAATATATTATAATATAATTATATATATTTATATTATATTTATATTTCAGGTCTTAGGTTTGAGTCCTTGATCCATCTTGAGCTGATTTTTGTATAAGGTGAGAGATGAGGATCCAGTTTCATTCTCCTACATGTGGCTAGCCAATTATCTCAGCACCATTTGTTGAAAAGGGTGTCCTTTCCCCACTTTATGTTTTGTTTGCTTTGTTGAACATCAGTTGACTGTTAAGTATTTGGGTTTATTTCTGGGTTCTCTATTCTATTCCATTTGTCTATGTGCCTACTTTTATGCCAGTATCATGCTGTTTTGGTGACTATGACCGTATAGTATAGTTTTAAATCAGGTAATATGATGCCTCTAGATTTGTTCTTTTTGAATTTTAGAATTGTTTTTTCTAATTCCGTGAAGAATGATGGTGGTATTTTGACAAGAATTGCATTGAATTTGTAGATTGCTTTTGGCAGTATGATCATTTTCAGAATATTTATTCTACCTATCAGTGAGCATGGGATGTGTTTCCATTTGTTTGTGTCATCTATGATTTCTTTCAGCAGTGTTTTGTAGTTTTCCTTGTAGAGGTCTTTCACTTCCTTGGTTAGGTATATTCCTAAGTATTTTTTTTTTTTTTTTTTTGCAGCTATTGTAAAGGGGGTTGAATTCTTGATTTGATTCTCAGCTTGGTCGCTGTTGGTATATAGAAGAGCTACTGATTTGTGTACATTAATTTTGTATCCGGAAACTTTCCTGAATTATTTTATGAGTTCTAGGAGCTTTCTGGATGTGTCTTTAGGGTTTTCTAGGTAAACAATCATATCATCAACAGACAGTCACTTTACCAATTTGGATGCACTTTACTTCTTTATCTTGTCTGAAAGCTCTGGCTAGGACTTCAAGTACTATATAGAAGAGGAGTGGTGATAGTGGGCATCCCTGTCTTGCTCAAGTTCTCAGAGGGAATGCTTTCAACTTTCCCCCATTCAGTATTATGTTGGCTGTGGGTTTGCCATAGATGGCTTTTATTACATTGAGGTATGTCTGTTGTATAGTGATACTGCTGAGTTTTAATCATAAAGGGATGCTGGATTTTGCTAATGTTTTTTCTGCATCTATTGAGGTGATCATGTAATTTTTGTTTAAGATTCTTTTTATGTAGTATATCACATTTATTAACTTGTGTATGTTAAACCATCCCTGAATCCCTGGTATGAAAACAACTTGATCATTGTGGATTTTGTTTTTGATATGTTCTTGGATTTGGTTAGCTAGTATTTTGTAAAGGATTTTAGCATCTATGTTCATCAGGGATATTGGTCTGTAGTTTTCTTTTTTGATTATGTCCTTTCCTGGTTTTGGTATTAGGGTGAAACTGGCTTCATAGAATGATTTAGGGAGGGTTCCCTCTTTCTCTAACTTGTGGAATAGTGTCAATAGGATTGGTACCAATTATTTGAATATCTTGTAGAATTCTACAGTGAATCCATCTGGTCCTGGAGGTTTTCTTTGTTAATATTTTTTATTAGCATTTCAATCTTGCTGATCATTATTGGTCTGTTCAAAGTATCTAATTCTTCCTGATTTAAGCTAGGAAGGTTGTATCTTTCCAGGAATTTATCCATCTCCTCTAGGTGTTCTAATTTACATGTGTAAAGGTGTTCATAGTAGCCTTGAATGATCTTTTGTATTTCTGTGGTGTCAGCTGTAATATTTCCCATATCATTTCTAACTGATCTTATTTGGATTTTCTCTCTTCTTTCCTTGATTAGTCTTCCTAGTGATCCATCAATTTTATTTATCTTTTCAAAGAACCAGCTTTTTGTTTCATTTATCTTTTGTGTTGGTTTTTTGTTCATTTGTTTTTTCAATTTCATTTAGTTCTGCTTTGATCTTGGTTATTTCCTTTCTTCTGCTGGGTTTGGGTTTGGTTGGTTCTCATTTCTCTAGTTCCTTGAGATGTGATCTTAGATTGTCTGTTTGTGCTCCTTCAGACTCTCTGATGTAGATTTTAGGGTTATAAACTTTCCTCTTAGCACCTGCCTTTGCTGTATCCCAGAGGTTTTGATAGGTAGTGTCACTGTTGTCATTCAGTTTGAATAATTATTTAATTTTCCTCTTGAGTTCATTTTTGACCCAATGATTGTTCAGGAGCAGATCATTTGATTTCCATATATTTTCATGGTTTTGAAGGTTTTTTTTTTTTTTTGAGTTAATTTCCAGTTTTAGTCCACTGTGGTCTAAGAGAGTGCTTGATATAATTTCAATTGTCTTGAATTTATTGAGGCTCGTTTTGTGGCCTATCATATGGTCTATTTTGGAGAAAGTTCCATGTGCTGTTGAAAAGAATGTATATTCTGCAGTTGTTGGGTAGAATGTTCTGTAAAATCTGTTAAGTCTGTTTGTTCCAGGGTATGGTTTAAATCTATTTTTTATTTGTTGACTTTCTGTCTTGATGACCTGTCTATTGCTATCAGTGGAGTATTGAAGTCCCCCACTATTATTGTGTTGCTGTGTATCTAATTTCTTAGTTCTATTGGTAATTGTTTTATAAATTTGGGAGCTCCAGTGTTAGGTGCATATATATGTAGGATTATGATACCTTCTTTTTGGACAAGGCCTTTTATCATCATATAATGACTCTCTTTGTCTTTTTTAACTACTGTTGCTTTAGAGTTTGTTTTGTCTGATATAAGAATAGCTACTCCTGCCTGTTTTCAGTGTCCATTTGCATGGAGTATCTTTTTCCATCCCTTTACCTTAAGTCAACATGAGTTCTTATGTGTTAGGTGTTTCTCTGGAAGGCAGCAGATAGTTGGTTGGTGAATTCTTATCCATTCTGCAATTCTGTATCTTTTAAATGGAGCATTTAGGCCATTTACATTCAACATTAGTATTGAGGTGTGAAGTAACATTCCATTCATCATGCTATTTGCGGCTTGTATTCCTTTAATTTTTGTTTTTTTAATTGTATTTTTGTTTTGTATGTCCTGTGATATTTGTGCTTTAAAGAGGTTCTGCTTTGATGTGTTTCCAGGATTTGTTTCAAGATTTAGAGCTCCTTGGAGCGGTTCTTGTATTACTGGTTTTGTAGTGGTGAATTATCTCATTTTTTGTTTGTCTAAAAAAGACTATATCTTTCCTTCACTTACGCAGCTATGCAGCTTATTTTCACTGCATCCAAAATTCTTGGCTGATAATTGTTTTGTTTTGGGAGGCTGAAGATAGGGCCCCAATCCCTTCTATCTTCTAGGGTGTCTGCTGAGGAAGCTGCTGTTAATCTGATAGGTTTTCCTTTATAGGTTACCTAGTGTTTGGCCTCACAGCCTGTAAGTTTCTTTCCTTCATCTTAACTTTAGATAACCTGATGACAATGTGCCTAGGCAATGATCTTTTTGTGATGAATTTCCTAGATGTTCTTTGAGTTTCTTACATTTGGATGTCTGCTTCTTTAGCAAGGCTGGGAAATTTGTCCTTGATTATTTCCCCAAATATATTTTACAAACTTTTAGATTTCTCTTCTTCCTGAGGAATGCCAATTATTCGTAGGTTTGGTTGTTTAACATAATCCCAGACTTCTAGGAAGATTTGTTTATATTTTCTTATTCTTTTTTTCTTTGTCTTTGTTGGATTGGGTTAATTAGAAACCTTGTCTCTGAGCTCTGAAGTTCTTTCTTCTGCTTATTCAATTCTATTGCTGAGACTTTCCAGAGAATTTTGCATTTCTGTAAGTGCGTCCATTGTTTCCTGAAGTTTGATTGTTTTTTATTTATGCTATCTATTTAGCTGAATATTTCTCCCTTCACTTTTTGTATCTTTTTTTTTTTTTAATTTCCTTACATTGGGCTTCACCTTTCTCTGGTGCCTCCCTGATTAGCTTAATAACTAACCTTCTGAATTCTTTTTCAGGTAGATCCAGGACTTCTTGATTTGGATCCATTGCTGGTAAGCTAGTGTGATTTTTTTGGAGGGTGTTAATGAAACTTCTTTTGTCATATTAGCAGAGTTGGATTTCTGGTTCCTTCTTATTTGGGTAGGCTCTGTCAGAGGGAAGGTCTAGAGCTCAAGGCTGTGGTTCAATTCCTTTTGTCCCATGGGGTGTTTCCTTGATGTGGTACTCTCCCCCTTTTCCTAGGGATGTGGCTTCCTGAGAGCCGAGCTGTAGTGATTGTTATCTCTCTTCTGGATCTAGCCACCCAGCAAAACTATCAGGCTCTAGGCTGGTACTGGGAGTTGTCTGCACAGAGTCCTGTGATGTGAACCCTCTGTGTGTCTCTCAGCCATGGATACTTGCGCCTGCTCCAGTGGAGGTGGCAGGGGGAGTCTGAGAGTCCTTAGTTTTGGTTGTTTTATGTACTATTTTTGTGCTGGTTCGCCTCCTGCTAGGAAGTGGTGCTTCAAGAGAGCATCAGCTGTGATAGCACGGGGGGAAACAGGTGGTGGGTGAGGCCCTAGAACTCTCAAGAGTATATGCCCTTTTTCTTCAGTTACCAGGGTGGATAGGGAAGGACCATTAGGTGGGGGCAGGCCTAGGCATGTCTGAGCTCAGACGATACTTGAACAGTTCTTGTGCGGGCAGTGGGTGAGCGGGGCTGAGAACTTGCCCAGGCTACCTGCCTCCCAGCTGCGAAATTAGGGCTTTCTTTCTTTCTCCATTTGTGGCGTCTGCGCACCAGACTCACGCTCTCCCCGAGAGACTTCTCAATTGGTTCAAATTGTTACAAAGTTCAGCTGGGGGTTTCCATCTCCTTGCGGCTTTTTCCCATTGACTCTGGGAGCCCTCCTCTAGAAGCCAGTGAGGCAAGGCAGAAATGTCGTGCTAGGGAACCCAGTGAGGCCACAGGGATTTTCCTGCTGCTTCCTCTACCCCTGTATTTCGCTTGGCTCTCTAAATTGACTCAGCTCCAGGTAAGGTCACAATCTTCTCCCATAATCTAGACCTTCAGGTTCCCCAGTGGGGAAGTGTGTTCAGTGGTAGATGAGCTCCCATTCCCACATCCACAGTTTGGGCACTCACAGTATTTGGGGTATCTCCCAGTTCTATCCTGTAGGAGCAATAGACTTTCTTCAGAAGGTCTGTGGATTCTCTTGGCTTTCCTACTACATTCCTGCAGTCGTTCTGGAGCAAAAGGTCACAATGAGAGCCTCCACACACCTGCAGCAAACTTTTGCCTAGACATTCAGGCATTTCCATATATCCTCTGAAATCTAGGCACAGGTTCCCAGACCTCAATTCTTGACGTATGTGCACCCATCTCATGTAAGCTGCCAAGACTTGGGGCTTCACCCTTTGAAGCAATGGCCTGAGCTGTACCTTGGGCCCTTTTAGTCATGGATGTAGCTGAAGCAGCTGGGACTCAGGCACCATGTCCCAAGACTGCATAGAGTAGGGGGGCCCTGGGCCCAGCCCACAGAACTATTTTTCCTTCCTAGGCCTCCAGGCCTGTGATGGGAGGGGATGCCATGCAGGTCTCTGACATGCCCTAGAGACAATTTTCCTATTTTCTCATTGATTAACGTTCAGCTTCTTGTTATTTACGCAAATTTCTGCTGCAGGCTTGAATTTCTCCACAGAAAATGAGTTTTTTTTCTTTTATCACATCTACAGGCTGCAAATTTTCCAAAGTTTTATGCTCTGTTTCCTCTTGAATGCTTTGCTGCTTAGAAATTTCTTCTGCCAGATATCCTAAGTCATCTCTCTCAAGTTCAAAGTTTCACAGACCTCTAGAGCAGGAGCAAAATGCCACCAGTCTCTTTGTTAAAGCATAGGAAGAGTCACCTCTATTTTATGATAATGAGCTAATCTAACCCTCCTAAACTTCACATCAACCAACTCCTAAAAAGAGTTATTATGTCCATACCAATGATGATGCCTTAGCTATTGTTAAAAATCTCATAGTATGATGTAAAGTGAGAGTATAATATAATTTTATTGCTAGGCCATCTTTGATTTTATACAGAAACACACACCAACTTTTCTGTTAGCAAGGGTAATATCAAAGCAAACACCAGAAGGAGAGTTATATGCGGGATTTGTTTTCTCAAAACCATGGAGGTAATCAACATTCAAACAAAAGACAAATGATGAATATTTCTTCAGAAAATATGAAGTCCTTCCTATTATTTTATCAAAGATTTTCAATATTCTGACCATTTTTATTTATGCAATTGAGTTCTGTTTTAGCTGAAATTAATTTTGTTTTCATTGTTCTAAATGAACACCTTCTCCCTTGAGTCTTTATTGTTCTAAAAATTGTACAGAGATGTGGAAAAATATTTTCCTTTTTTTTGATTGTGCTAGTGATATGTGAAAAGGTATATACAGATGGTACATAAGAACAGGAAAATATGTGTAATAATATTAGTCATAAAGAATTTGCAAACTGAGGCCACAATGATTTTTCACCATATACCTACCAGAATGACTAAAATAAAAGTAATAAAACAGCAAATTCTGATTAGCATGAACAAAAACTGGATCTTTCATACATTGCTGGTGGGAATGTAAAATTGTACAGCCATGCTGAAAAAGAGTATAGTATATTCTTAAGAAAGTAAAAAAAAGTTTATCATATGACCCAACAATTGTTATTGGGCATTTATACCAGATAAATAAAATGTAGGTTCACATAATAACCTGTATATGAGTGTCTGCAGCAACTTCATTTGCAACAGTCAAAAGTTGAAAACAGTTCAAATATATTTCAATGGGTGAATTGTTAAGCTGTGGTATATCCATACTGTGGAATACTACACAGCAATAACAAAATAAGAAATTTATTGATGCATGTAAAAATGTAAATAGCATTTTAGGAAATTATGCTGGGTTTTTAAAAAGCCATTTATATAGCATTCTTGAAATGAAAAAAATATATAGGATAAGGAACAGAATTGTAGTGCCAGATATTAGGTGTTTTGTGGCTGGGCAGGGTTCATGGTAGTGCTATAAAATGGGAGAAGGAGGGATCCCTGTGGTTGAACTATTCTATGTCTTGATTGTGATAATGGTCACACAAATCTATAAATGTGATAAAACTGCATAGAACACACACACACACACACACACACACATCTGCAAAACTAGTGAAACCCGATTGAGGATAAGATGGGTGTAATTTGTCTAGTGCTTTTCCTGGTAGTGACATTGTACTATATTTACAAAAAATGTTACTATTGGAGGGAAAATTAGTGATGGATATATGGGATCTCTCTCTATTATATTTTACAGTCTATCTCAAAATAGCCCAACAAAGGCAGATGGTTCATTTGGATTGCCATATCTGAACAGGAGCTCTCAGGACTAGTCTGTGTTGTAGTTATATGGAATGAAAACTAGATAGAAACAAACAGGCTCTGCTGCAATTGATTTTTTAAAAAGAAGACATCCAAATATATTTAATTCTTCTGCAAGTTTAAGAAGACAATGTGCTTTCTTCTTTAAAATAATTTAAATCGTTACATAGTATTTATTTATTAGTTTGACTCATTTGCTATTGATATTATAGGAAGGGCAGTACTAAAATTTAGATCATATATCTAAGTAGTTTGAACATTTTTATTAATATGTATTATTATGAATATAATTATATCAAGAATAATCAACTTTCTTATGTTAAAATTATATGATTATATAAACTATATGTATATATATATAACAAGTACATATTAAAATATGTCTATAATAACAATTTTAAATAAGAGAATTGTATGAGACATAATACTCCTTATTTGGAACAACATTTTAGCTAGGTTTAATTTACATAAATATAATTTTATGTATATGTACACTGGCATATAAACTACAGAAGGACAGAGACTTTTCCTGTGATTATAGTACCATTCCCTGCATTCAAGGATACCAGTTTCTCAATAGCTCTCTGGTGGACCCACTCACTTGAAATGGAAGCACTTTTTTTGTCCACCTCCATGAGTAGAAATGATATCTCAACATAATAAAAACTACTTACCAAAGAGATTTTTGCTAACAACCTCTCTCACTTCTATATTAATTGTAAACCTTTTGAAAAATATTTTTAGATGCATGATTGAGTAATCCTAATGTAATGAATTTTGTTTGCAAGTTAGAAACATCCTAAATTGTCTGAAACTCACTTTATAATGTAGGAATCTTTTCTCCTTAACTTGAGGGTCTCATCCAAAACATTAAGCCCACACCACTCCCAATAAAATAGTCTATTAAAATACATATATTGGACATAAGTTGTTCTTATTTGGGAAGATAGTAAATTAATATGTTTCCCTATTTAGTGTATTTACTGTAGTAATATCTTCTTTTTCATGTGACTATTTCTGTAAGCTATTAATTTTCATAAAAACTTTTAAAACCAATTTTTATTTGACTTTCAGTTCTAGATAGAGTATTTCACTGATTATAAAGTTTTCTTTGTGATCTACTCAATTTTATTTGATGTACAATTCTACCACTGATATAATAATTAGAAATAATGTTGCTATTCTGAAAGAGGTTAAATATTATGTCTACTTTTCTCCCAAATTTAAATAGTTACAACAGGCAACTATTTAATTTTTCTTCAAATAGTTTTTTAAAATAAAAACTTATAAAATATTTCTAACATCCCTTAAGGATTTGTAGTGTTATGTTTTCCATAAGACATGTTTTCTGTATAGTCAGTTTTTCTGGTAGACTGTCTCTGGATCTTTATGACAATTCTATAATGTTCCGTTATTGTAGGTTAATAATAGTATATGCTATCTTAAAACCATCTGTAAAATTACAAAGGAATACTTTATCAACACTACATAATTCTAAATTAAAATGTTTCCAGCATTCATTTATCTTTGGGAACACTGAAAATGGACTGAACGCGCTGAAAATGCCGTTATAAATAAGACAATTGAACAACATGCTTAAGTAGGTTGAAGAAAATGATAAGCTTTATCTTAATGTCCTTTGAAAATTAAAACTGAATTTTCTAACATGTACAAAATTTTATTTTAAAGTAAAATGTTAAAAGGAATATATGTATATGTGCATATAAATGTATTCAAATTAGTATATACATAAATACATCTTAAACTTACTTATAAGTTTAAAATTTAATGAAATACACTCTACTTTTTAAATACCATTTTTACTGAAATCTAAAACACAAAAAAATGCTATGGACTGAATGTGCGTGCCCCCCCCACAAAATTCATATAAGTTTAATGCTCAATATAATGCTATTTGGGTGTGAGGTCTTTGGAAGGTATTTAATTCTTCAGAATAGAGCCTTCATGAATGGGATTTATGACCTTATAGCAAGAGACAGGGGAGAGATTGTTTCCTTTCTCTCTCGGCCATGTATGGACACAAGAATATGAATTTTCACAAAAGACAGCCCTCATCAGACACCAGATCTGTTGATGGCTGCATCTTGAATTTCCCATGTTAGAACTGTAGGAAGTAATTCTCTGTTGTTTAAGTCACATAGTATATGATAATTTGCTCTAGCAGCCTTGACTGACCAAGATAGAAAAACTTCCCCTTCTGGTCATGGTAGAGTAATAGTAACCATATTTACTCTCCTGTGTGAAAGGAATTTTTAGAGAAACAGTTTAAGACAATGGACATCAGGCAACCAAAACAGAGGTCAGGAAACAAAAGAGGATAGCACTAACACTGCCCAAGCTTACTGTGGTGAGAGAGTGTTTCCAGGCTCTGTGAAAAGACTGGAGGAGCAGGGTGAGATGGAAAAGGGGGCTTCAGATCTAACCTCATGGCCTCCTTCAGTTGAGCAGATAAAGCTGAGTCTGTGAAGACCAGGCACTTAGAGTTAAGACAAAATATCAGAGAGAAGATAAAGATTCCTGAATATGGAGTGCCCTCCTCTGGTATTAATCAGAGAGTGGTCAGTGCATTCTTGTGAGGAAATGACCTGAAGCCAAGAAATGAATGATCAGGAAGTACTAAAGAGCACAGTGCGTAGTTCTCACACAGAGAAGAGGATAGTGCCTATTACCACCAAAATAATGGAAAAACTCATAATTCTTGTGACATTAGATGGGATTCTCAAGAAGGTCTTACCTTAGTAGCGAGGAATCATTATTCCTAGACTATTAGTCTTACCTAACAAATCATGAAGGCATGACCCAAAAAGATCAACCTGTTTCCACGTAACTTATCTGTATCACAGAATGAAGTTTAATAATATTTCTAAATAAATAAGGATCACCATTATTCAACAACATAGAGTTCACAATGTCTGGCATCCACATGAAGATTACCTAGCATGCAAAAAAGCAGGAATATATGCTCCATAATGAAGAGGCTATTAATCAATTGATACAAATCCAGAACTGACTCAGATGTTAGATTTGTAAACAAGGATATTATAACATTTGTGAGAACTGTATTCCGTATGTTTTTCAAAAAATTAATTAATGCTGTTGAAGTACAAAAAAGACCCAAATTAAATGTCCAGAAGTAAAACTATGATCTCTGAAATAACTACATTGGTTGGAATTAATGGCAGATTAGACATTGCAGAAGAAAAAAAACTTCAACTGAAGAAGGAAATGCAAAGTATATAAAATGAAACACAGAAAGAAATTAAAAATTCAACAAGTATAGTAAGCTGCAGAGCAACTTCATGTGACCTAATATGAGTAACTGGAGTCTTTAATGGAAAGGAGGAAGGCTTGTTCTATGGCAGTGATAAAGGTCATGAAAGAGAGGAAAGAAGCTGTTGTGGGGAAAAAAAGCTGAACTTGACACTAGACAGTTGTGGAAGAAGACTTTGATGCTTAATTATAATCTAATCAGTAGAAATATTATGACCTCAAGCATATTCCAGATTTAAGTTAAATCAGAGAAAGGGAAAATCCAGCATCTAATCATTTAAACAACTAAAAGGATTGTGGGATTAGAAGTTCATATGGACATTGTCTGGATCTTCAGAGTTCAATTATTTCAGTCTCTCAGTAATTCAGAATGATTTATTTGCAAATCAAACTGTTTAAATTTATGATAAAATGACCCAGACAAAATACAACATCATTTGGAAAACAATTATTCCCAGGGATATTAAGATTGTATTCTCCCATTATTGACTTAACTTCTGATTGCTACTCTAATTTTCACATCTGGCTATATGCACCTGAATATTACTAATCACGGCCAGAAAGATTTAAATTTATCAAATATGATTTTTTTTTCAGATATTATCCCCAAATTATCTGTTATAGTTACATAGTCTTTCTTTAAATATTTATAATTTCATCAGAAAAATAAGAAAGAATCACAGGTAACAGCCCAAATTGCAAAAACTCACATCTGTTTTTAGTTGAAGAAAGATAGAAGGTAAATTCACTTGTACAATATTATAGATTTGTCTAAGAAGTATATTTTCTATACATAGTGAACATCATGACTATACATTCTAAGGGAAATAATAATACCTACAATTTGCTGAGTACCAGGCTCCTTGATAAATGTCTAATATGTAGTTATCATAACAAAAACACTGGTAGAAAATATTTTTCTAAATTAATATAGATAAGTTAGAAAATGGCTGAGTATATTTTCAATGTATACATAACTTCAAGTATTGTTTATTTTATAAAATAGTGCTGCTATAATGTGCATCTGTATCTGAAACTCCACTTTAAAAACATGAATATAATTGTTTTATGTTTATATTAATAACCTTATAATTATAAATTTATCTTAGAATTTTGGTGAATTATTATAAATTCAATGTATATTTCTTGAGTTTTTATGAGTGATCCTGAAAAAACCTAGAAGTTCTAACCATAATTCCTTGACTAATCAATCTTTACTAGTTTCATTTCTCAAGAATTTTCTCTGTCTCCACTCTGTCACACACACACACACACACACACACACACACACACACACACACATACGCATATATATTTACAAAAAAAAATTAAGACTTTAAATGTCTATCATGGAAATATCTTCTAGGTTAGAAATTTTGAATGCATCATTACTTTTAATAATTATGCACTACTTCTTATATTACCATATCATGATTTATTTAGTCGTCTCCCAATGGTTGGATATTTAAATATCCTTGTATTTCAGTATTATAAATAGCTCTGAGATGAACATAACATACCACAGATACTTTTCACCAATTCTGCTGTTCATCTGGTATGTATGTCACTGTTATCTACATTCAGGTCCAATTTCTTTTTTATTGATAGTCTGATAGCCTTTCAGAAATCTAGTTTGATGTTCACTCCCATCAACAGGGAGAGTACAATTAGACATATGGTTTGGAAGGGTGATCTTCAACAACTTGGAAGTTGGTTTAAAGTGAGGAAAGTGTAGAAAAGTGTTAATTTCAAAATAATCCTTAAAAGAGATGATAACACATATTAAAGCAGTGACCACAATATGGATAGGAGCAAAGAATTAGGCATTTTCTGACATGGAAAAAAGTCTCTCTAGATTAAAATCTTCTTGAAGACGGGGACTATAGCTCGCCCTTCTCCATTCCAAGTGCTTATTGTAGTTACTGGCACATAGTATGGGATAAACAAAGAAGCAAAACAAAATATAATGGAATGAATGAAAACAGTATTTATAGAAATGAATGCCTATGTTGTGTGGATACTGAATGAGAGTAAGAAAACAAAGATGACTGTCTTTTTTTCTTTCTTTGTCTCTGTTGTGAAAATAAATGCCATGCTCAGCTTTTATTTCCACTTTGATTGGCATTAAAAATTATAGAATTTATGCATGGCAACCCCTCCTAAGAATTCTCTTCTATTCTTCAAATCATCACCCCAGGGGAACATTAATTTATTCTCTTCTAAATAATCATAAACCTGTACTGTTAATTTGTATTCTATGTTATGACTTATTTTATTTCCTCTGCTTGATGGTGATGTACTTGACAAGTAAAATGTTTTGTTCAAATGTAAGTCTTCTATATTGCCTAATGTAATATTTGCATACTATAAATATGTTTAAATGTATAAATGAAGATAATTTTGTGTAACTGTATTCTGTATACGAGCAGAGTTATTACCGATTTTTGTCATTTTTGAAGAAATGAATATTGTTTACTTTCATTTTCATCCTATTATATTTTGTGCATCAGGGAATTGTGTTTCCTGAACATCCACCTGCTGTTTGATTTATGGCATACTGAGTCACCTTAAGACTTTTCACAATCTGTGCTCAGACACCCCTGTAATCAACTAACCAATCAGTCTTATTTAGAAGGTAGACTAGTAATAATAGAGTGTGTGAGAGCAATGACAGGGAATAAAAATGCATAAAAGGAAAAACATTCTGTGTGCTTCCAACATGTTTCTTGTTACTAAACATTCATTTCTCAATTTAGCCACAGATATCTTAGTGAAGATTTTGTGCATTTCACTCCGGAAGTAAAGCAGAATAATACTTTCCCTAATAGAATTAGAAGTCTATATGCTAACTTTGCAGGCTAGCACAGAACTTCTCATACAAATAATTTACATCTTCTTAAAATCATGTAAAATTTATCTTGTTAACTTTGACCTTTGAGAATTATTTTAGATCCAAGTGAAATACAGTATTAAAATAATTTTCATCTTATCAATGAAGTGTTTTATAAAAAGAGCCAAAAATCTTGATCTTTGGTTGGAACTATGAATTCTGTAATCACCAGCTCTGTTATTTTACTAAGCATAGGGCCATGGACAAGTTATTTAGCCTCCTTTTGAAGCAGTTTTCACAATTCTATTAATAGATAAATTAATAGTGATGAAGAGTGCAGTTATAAGATTTAAAAGGAATAAAATAGGTGATGTTCTGACACTGTCTGTCACATAGTAATAAATACATATAAGCTTTTGCATTTATTAGTATTACTGGGTTAAGGATTCTTGAAACAGTCTCCATCCACTTCAGATTATATAGATACATAACTTCTCTGTACTCTCCCACTACTTGTCATATTGGGAAATCTGTTCATCTTAGAGCAATTGCACCCCAAATGTGGACTTTATTACATAAATTGCAATAATTAACTATAGCTCTTATCCGAGAATGTCTTAATAGCATATAGGAAACAAATAATTAAACCATTGCAGATTCTTCTCAGGGAGATAACTATCTTGTTTAGAAAAATGTCTGCTGGATATGGGTGAATATAGAAACAGCATCCTCTAGGTGTGGTTTGAATGCGCTGGAATGAGCAGTGAGTCTGGAAGAAGGGAGTAGCAGCAAAAGAGAAAAGCAAGCTCACAGGAATCTTCTGTGGAAATAGATGACCGAGGAATTTTTTAAGAATGGAGAACATACTATAGGTTTTCTTTTTTATTGATAAACTATAGCTTGTATTTTCTCTCAAATCTGAAATTATACTAAAAGAACTTTGCTCAGTATTTTTAATCTTGAAAGTGGAGATGTAATTTTATATTTGTGTAAACACGAAGCATAGAGAAGGCTGTAGGCATTATTGGAAGTGCAATCATTAACACAATGGGAACAAGAAATTGCAAAGAGGGGATTTTAAAAATAAAAATAAAATGTGGCTGGGTCTGGAGGCTCATGCCTGTAATCCCAGAATTCTGGGAAGCCTAGGCGGCCACATTATTTAAGCCCAGGAGATGAAGACCAACTGAACCCCGTCTCTACAAAAAATACAAAAATACCCTGACCTGGTAGCATGTACCTGTACTCCCAACTACTTGAGAAGCTGAGGTTGGAGGATCACTTGAGCCTAGGAGGTCAAGGCTGCAGTGAGCTGTGATCACACCACTGCACTCCAGCCTGGGCAGCAGAAGGAGACCCCGCCTCAAAAATAAAAAATGAAATAAGTAAATAATGTAAGCCACTAGTAGACATTCTGTATCATGTATTAGATTTTTCACAGGATATAGATAGGAATTCAAGCCAATTTTATTTAAGTTGAATGTCAGGGTGATACCAGACCATATGTCTTCTTAACAGCATATTAATTTAGAGAATATTGTATTATACATAAGTATTGTTTTTTATTTTCTATTGATTTATTGATTTAATATTTGTTATTTTAATACTTATTGATTTAATATTTATTATTTTAATACTTATTGATTTAATATTTGAAATTGACCTAATATTTTGGAATTTATTTAATATTATTTTGTTATTGATTTAATTATTAGTATTCTAGTTGACAGAGAGTATTGTAATACATATATTGCATATCTTTCTGAGAAGGCTGAGAATGTTGCATTGCTGCTCATTTTCCCTTCTGGGATATGTATTTTATATCTTCTTGGTGATAATCATACAATTTGAAAGATTTTTTTCCCCCAGAGGCAATATAATCTGTAGAATAGTGAACTGGATGATATAGCAGATACTTTATTTTAGGGGTTACTCTTTCCCCAGTTCAATTGTATAGCTGTACTATGAAGAGTCATATTTGGAAAACTAGCATGTTCCCTCGTTACAGTTGTTCCACAGGAGTAGGTACTATCAAGAGCTGAGCTGAACTGAGAGAGCTGAGCTGCCAGGTGTTGGGGTAGGCAATTGAAACAATGAGCCACAATAAAAGTAACTATCAAGGCTTAATCACTTACTGTGAGAGTGTAACTAAGGGGCTAACCCTAGAGGAAGCACCAGCTCCTTGACGGTTCCATTTTTCGCATAGAATATCACTGGGTAGAGGTCAAATGGATGAGCACAGATGAGGGAGGCCTCTTACTGCAGAGGGAGCTGCAAGTAAAATATTTTTGTCATTTGATGGACCCAGGAAATGGTGGTAGAGAGAGGGAGAAGGGCTAAGAGTGGAAAAATATTTAGTATTGAGTCTAAGTGGAAAAAAGCGTCTCAAGAATCTTCCATAAAGAAAACCTCCCAATTGAGGCCCCTTCGGTAGGGATACATACAGATGTGCAAAACAGCATGGCCAGCAAAAGGGACCTGAGTCCCTGCCTGTAAATCTTTTCAGACATTGCAATGCCTTAGCTGTGCATCATGTTCGGTGCAGATCATATTTTTCCTGTGAAACATAGCCAGGTAAAACCTTTGTGGTTGCCATAGGCCAGGAGCTAGAATCCTCAGACATAATCCAGACTGGGTCTGTTACCTACCCTTACCCAGATCCCAAACGTCTGTCCACAGTCAATGGGTCCATAGCAGGATACTTGCTCTCATGAGAAGATAAATTCTATCTAGTCTGAAGTGGTAAACAGAATCATTAGATGTGGAGCTTTTGAAAAAAATGCCTATTTCCCCCATACACAGATTAAATAAGCAAAAGTAGATGCTTACCAATAATAAAGAAAATAAAGCAAATGCAGTAAAGTGGCAAGGAGTGAAAAATGAAAAGAGCTCCAATGTCATATGAGAGCTTGGATCTAATTAATTCTTGAGGTCCAGATGGACTTCTGTGCTTCAATCTCCATATATATTTCTTGTTATTATCCTCTACTTTGTTTGAATTAGCTAAACTGCTTCTGTTATTTTAAACCAAGAGTGGCAGAAAACACAAATGGCCAGATAGAGAACCAAAACAGAAATACGCTGTTTGAAATTTTTGAAACATACGCAGTGACTTCTGGTTAATTTTCTCTAACAGAGGCTTATTACTTGGCAAAGCAATTTATTATACATATCAATTGAATCAATAGATTTTTTAAAACTCATATTTGTCTTCTGAAATGTTTGTCCTGTATAGCTTCATTCGGTCCTCTGAATGGAGGTAAAATCAAATAACAAGGTTTCTATATTGAGACTGATTAATAATCTTAAAAAATTAGGTTTAATAAGCTTTTGTCAATTTACTTGAGATCCTTAATATGATAGCATATCAAGTCAGTAAATAAATATTTTAATTTTGGTTCTCTCTCCTTCCAACTCCAACCTTTGACATATTTTAGAAATACTGCATGATAATTAATTGAGCATAATATTTGCAGAACAGTAGCAGGCAAATTAATATGAATTGGAAGTCTGTTAGAAAGAAAGGTCTGCCCATAAAGATGACGGTAGAATTGCATGCAGATAGTGGGAAGTCTCTTTAACTGAATGGGTGAGTAATAATTTCATCAGTGGAGAAAGAGTGGATGAAAAGATATTTTGTATAGATTTGTATAGAGAATATTTTAAAATAACAGAACCCTAGTTTGATTAATGAGCTGGTAGATATTGTTCTGTGAAGGGCAGAATGCTACAAATGCTCTTGATTTTATGATTCTGGAGTGCCAGACACTTTGGAAATTTTCCATGTATGAGAAGTACAGCATGATTTGGCAATCCAATGTAGGACAATTTTTTAGCTGAGTCCTACAGAATTAATTATTTTGTAAAAAACTTGAGAAACTGCAACCTACCAACACAACAGAGGAAAAATATTGCCTCTTGAGTCTATATAATATAAATTTTCAAAAATAATACCCAATAGTGGTGATAAGCAACAGCAGCAATATATTGATTGGATCTAACTCTTTTATCCATTGTGTGTGGAATCTAGGTAGATGCTCTCCTTGAGATCTGTATGGCTCCTTGAGAAGTCAGAGGACAGTAGAAGTCATCAAAGGTAGATTTCCTTTTGTTGTTTTTTTTTCTTACCTTTTAATCTTGAAATATTTATAAACACACAAGAAATTTCAAATATAGGACATAGAGTACTCTGTGCCTTTTGCCCAAATTTCCTCAGTAGTGATAATTTATGTAGCTGTAGAACAAAATTAATTCCAGAAAACTGGTTTCAGTACATAACTGTTAACTAGATTATAGATCTTGCTTTCTTTTCCATTTTTATTTATTTATTTATTACCATTTTAACATGTATTCTTGTGACTGTATTTGTGCATACGGGTACACAGTTCTATGCAATTCATCTATCAGTCTGTCATCTAACAAGTACACATTTGTTAGATGTGTACACATTTTTACAACAAAAAATAAAAGTACTGAACTCTTCCATCATCACGAGTGACCTCCCTCATGTTATGCCTTTCTATTCACAAGCCCATGCCTACCTGCCTCTTGAGAACCACATATCTGTTATCAACCACTATCCTATAGTTTCAACAATGCCGTATCATGCTTTGTAAATAAAACAATACAGAACTTAAACTTCAGAAATTGACCTCTTTCACGAATAATAATTATATAGAAATCCACCTAGGTAGTTGCATGTGTCAATATTTGCTTCCTTTTCTTGTTGAGTAAAATGCATGACATAGATGTAACATAGATGTACATCTGTTAGATATAACATAGATATACATAGATGTAACACAGATGTAACACTTACCCAATGAAAGACATTTGGATACTTCCAAGTTTTGACTATTACCAAAAAAAAAAAAAAAAGAAAAATGGCTGCTATGGACATTGATGTACAGGTTTTAATATGAATGTTGTTTTCACTTAGTTGCCTACGAGTGTGATTACTAAATTGTATGTTTGGATATGTATAATTTTATAAAAAACTGCAAAATTACTTTTCAGAGTGGCTGTACCATTTTATATTCCCACCAGCAATGTATGAAAGGTCTAGTTTCTTCACAGTCTCAGAAGCATTTGGTTTTGTCACTATTTTTTTTAATTTTAGCTGTTCTAATGTCTGTAGTGGTATCTCATTGTAGCATTAATTTGTATATTCTTAATAGTGAGTGATATTGAACAAATTTTTATATGCTTATTTCCTAACATATCTCTTCTTTGGTGAAATGTTGATATGTATTTTGCTGATTTTCTAATTGAATTTTTGTTGCCTCTTGACTTTTTGAGAGTTCTTTATAGATTCTATATGTAAGAGTTTAATCAGGTATGTGATTTACAAATGTTTTGCCCTTGTCCATAGTCATATTTTTGTCTTCTCTTTAATGCCTCTAACAATGGTATTTCCTTTAATAAAGCAGAGTTTTGTTTGAATAATTAATAGAAAAAAAGAAAACAGATATGGCTATATTTGCATGCTGAGTTTGTGGAGCTATTTAGATAAGTAACATAATCATTACTCAATGTATTATAGTGATGAAAAATACATTCCAATTTTCAAATAATTGATTTAGACAACACTATTTAGAATACAACCTACACGTTAAGTAGGAGGCTTGCATTTAAGTGAACTAAATTGGAACAAAAACTGTGATTTCTTTTTTTTCCTAAGCACAAATATTTTGACTTTCTTTCACTCTTTGAATCAATAAAAATGAAAAGAAGTTAATGCCCAAACACCTTTCCATATATATTTTTTTCTGAGCCAATATTTTGACATTTGTATGTAATATTCAACTAGAAATATCTCAAAACTTCTAGTGAAATTAAAATCCAATAATATTGTTGATTTCCTTGTAAGAAATACTTAATTTTTTTTTCCATTTTAATTTAGTTTTAATGACAGTGCATTTCTTAGTTTCTAATAATGAAAAACTGGCATATTCACCTAAGATAATTTAGAAATATAAGATATTACCTGATATGGTTTGGCTGTGTCACCCAAATATCATCTTGAAATGTAGCTCCCACAGTTCCCATGTATTGTGGGAGGGAACGGGTGGGAGATAATTGAATCATGAGAATGATCTCCATACTGTTCTCATGGTAGTGAATAAGTCTCATGAGATCTGATGGTTTTATAAGGGGTTTCCCCTTTTGCTTGGCTCTCATTCTCTCTTGTCTGCTGCCATTTAAGACATGCCTTTCGCTTTTCACCATAATTGTAAGGTCCCCCCAGCCACACGGAATTCTGAGTCCATTGAACCTCTCTTTCTTTATAAATTACCCAGACTTGGGTATGTCTTTATAAAGAGTGTGAAAATGGACTAATATAGTAAATTGGTACTGGGAGAGGGGCACTGCTGTAAAGGTACCTGAAAATGTGGAAATGACTTTGGAACTGGGTAACAGGCAGAGGTTAGAACAGTTTGGAGGGCTCAGAAGAAGACAGGAAAATGTGGGAAAGTTTGGAACTTCCTAGAGACTTGTTGAATGGCTTTAACCAAAATGCTGATAATTATATGGACAAGGAAATCCAGGCTGAGGTTGTCTCAGACAGAGATGAGGAACTTGCTGGGAACTGAAGCAAAAGCGACTTTTGTTATGTTTTGAGCAAAGAGACTGGCAGCATTTTGCCTCTGCCCTAGAGATTTGTGGAACTTTGAACTTGAGGGAGATGATTTAGGGTATGTGGCAGAAGAAATTTCTCAGTAGCAAAACATTGAAGAGGTGACTTGGGTGCAGTTAAAAGCATTCAGTTTTAAAAGGTTAACAGATCATAAAAGTTGGTAAAATTTACAGCCTGACAATTCAATAGAAAAGAAAAACTCACTTTCTGAGGAGCAATTCAAGCCAGCTGCAGAAATTTGCATAAGTAACCAGTATCCAAATGTTAATGACCAAGACAATGAGGAAAATGTCTCCAGGGCATGTCAGAGAACTTTGTGGCAGCCACTCCCATCACAGGCCCAGAGGCCTATGAGGAAAAGATGGTTTTGTGTGCTGCCCCCCTGCTTTGTGCAGCCTAGGGACTTGGTGCCCTGCATCCCAACCACTCTAGCCATGACTAAAAGAGGCGATGGCTTCAGAGGGTTCAAGCCCCAAGCCTTGGTAGCTTCCCTGTGGTGTTGATACTGAAGGTGTATAGATGTCAAGACTTGAGATTTGGGAACTTTCACCTAGATTTCATAGGTTGTATGGAAATGCCTGGATGTCCAGGCAGATTGCTGCAGGTATGGGGCCCATATGGAGAACCTCTGCTAGGGCAGTGAGGAAGAGAAATGTGGGGTTGAATCCCCCACACAGAGTCCCTACTTGAGCACTGCCTAGGGGAGCTGTGAGAAGAGGGCCACCATCCTCTAGACCCCAAAATGATCCACCAACATCTTACACTGTGTGCCTGGAAACACCGCATACACTCAATGCCAGACCATGAAAGTAGTCAGGAGGGAGGCTACCCTGCAAAGCCACAGGGGAAGGGCTGCCCAAGGCTGTGGAAGCCCACCTCTTCCATCAGTGTGACCTGGATGTGAGACATGGAATCAAAGGAGATTATTTTGGATTTTTAATATTTGACTGCCATACTGGATTTAGACTTTCATGGGGCCTGGAGCCCCTTTGTTTTGGCCAGTTTCTTCCATTTGGAATGGCATATTTATCCAATGCCTGTACCCTCATAGTATTTAGGAAGTAACTAACTTGCTTTTGATTTTACAGGCTCATAGCTTGAAGGGACTTGTCTCAGATGTGACTTTGGGCTGTGGACTTTTGAATTAACGCTGAAATGAATTAAGCCTTTGGGGGCCTGTTGGGAAGGCATGATTGGTTTTGAAATGTGAGGACATGAGATTTGGAAGGGGCCAGGGGCGGAATGATAGGATTTGGTTGTGCCCCCACCAAAATCTCATCTTGAATTGTAGAGCCCATAATCCCCACATGTTGTGGGAGAGACCCAGTGGGAGCTAATTAAATCATGGGGTGGTTTCCTCTATACTATTCTCATAGTAGTGAATAAGTCTCACAATCACTTGGCTCTCATTCTTTCTTGTCTGCCACGATGTAAGATGTGCCTTTTGCCTTCTGCCATGATTGTAAAGCCCTCCCAGCCACATGGAACTGTCATTCCATTAAATCTTTTTTCTTTATAAATTACCCAGTCTTAGGCATGTCTTTATCAGCAGATTGAAAACAGACTAATACATTACCCCTAATATTATCAACCATTGACCTTTTGTTGTTCTCAAAAGAAAATATTACAGATTACATTTTATGTTTACATTTGATTCTTCTGTAAACACTTTAATTATGTCATTAAAAATGTTCTGATTTTTTTTTTAACATTTTGTAATGTTACAGTACCTTAGATAAAAGGACAATGATACTTACATAATACATGATAATTTTTGATGCTGTACATTATTTGACAAATTTTAGTTATAGAAAATAAAGTAATGATGCTGAATTGGTAGAAACCCTTGTTTATTAAATCCATCTAATTACTGTCATCATTTCACAAACAGCTTTAAAAATGTTCTCACCACATTTAACATATATATATATTGATTGAGAAATGTGTTAGAATAAAGAGTGAGCATGTAGTAATGACAACTGTTTTCATTGTGATGAGATGGAAACTATGAATAATTTACTATTATTTAATTAGTTTAATTAAACTAATTAAATTTAAGTTTAATGTTTTACTGGTGTTCTGTTCTCTGTTTAGTAGATGATAGATATTTTGAACACTCAAGGTTAAAATCTTATCTCTGACTTAAGGCATGTCAGATTTGAGGGAAGACAATTTGCATATGAGTTAATTAATCATTTCATATTTCTTCCTAATAAAATGTTAAATTTTGATTGCCAGATAAAAGTGTTAAAATAGTTTTGAGAAGACACAAATTAGATGAACTAATGGAAAAAAATGAGCTAAAGCTGGGTTGTATTGGATTAGAATTTAGATTGGCAGATCTTGGCGTAAGTATCACAAATATATGTAAGGTGATACAAATGAGGTAGTTAGAGAAGAAGTCATAGCAAGGATGTTCCTTTCTTTACAAATATTAATTTTGTTGTGACACTAAATAACAGTACAATTCTATTTGTTTTCTCTTTATGTATCAATATATTTATATTTTTTAAAGGGAAACATGAATATATACCAAACATCATCAGAAAGAAAATACATGATAAACATAAACTTATCTTAGCATCAGATAAAAATGTCTAAGTAGTATATGCTTATTGGAACAAAATATTATACTTTACGTTAGTCTAAAAATGAAGACTGGGGACATGATAGGGTGAGGGGGTGGTCTAGATGGCGGACTAGAAGCAGCCAGTGTGTATGGCTTATATGGAAAGGAATGGAAGAAGTGATGAAATACAACACCTTCAACTGAAACATCCAGGTACTCACGTTGGGACTAATCAAATAAACAAATTGAGCCATGGAAAACAAAGAAAAGCAACACACAACAGCCAACCTGGGAGTAACACAGAGTCAGGGGAACCTCCATTGACCTACACCCCAGATCCTGCATCTCTCTGGGGTGCGGGTCAAGCAAATGACCCTTGGCCATAACCACTACTAAGATCCCTTCCTCTGCTGCTTCCAGGTTGGGGAAGGAGCATAAACACTGAGATCTCCACAGAGCTGCAGTGGGTAGTCCAGGAGTGCCAAGTCATGACCTACACATACACTCACTACCCAGGGAAGTGGTGAGTGAATGTGTGGTCCCAGAAAACCATGCTCATCCTATGGATCTTTGCAACCCTTGGGTCAGGAGATCTTGTGAACCTACTCCATCATGGCCTTCACCTTTAGCCTGACAGACAGAGTTATGTGGAATCTTGGCAGAGGCACCACTCAGGCATGCGTGGAGACCCTATAGTCTTAGATACTCAGACTTTCCTGCAAAAGTAGCTGCTGCTGTCCTGCAAACTGGGAGGTTAGACCGCCCTTAAGAAAGAGGCTGATTCCAGGGGGCTGAGCAGTGACAGCCTACAAGCCCCACTTTCATGGCAACTCACCAGATAAGACCCACTGGCTTTGAATTCCAGCCAGCCACTGGTAGTGACATTGCACACCTTAAGAAGGAGCTCTCTGTGGGAGGGACAGGCCACCATCTTTGCTGTTTGGGAACCTTAGCTATTCCCACCTTCAGGATTTACAGAGTCTAAGCCCACCTGGGGCAGAAGGAATCCCCCCAGCACAGCACAGCTACTCTATCAAAACATGGTCAGATTGCTGCTTTAATTGGGTACCCGATCCCATTCCTCTTCACTTGGTGGGATCGCCCAACTGGGGCCTCCAGTCACCCCTGTTGGCATTCTCCGGCTGACAAAATTTTCTAACCTACCTGGGACAGAGCTCCCAGAGGGAGAGGAGGGACACCATCTTTGCTGTTTGGGCAACTCAGCCATTCCAGCCTTTGGGCTTTGGAGTATCTGAGGTGACTGAGGGCTGAGGCGGACCCCTAGCACAACACAGCTGCTCTACCAATATGTGACCAGACTGCTTTTTAAAGCAGGTCTCTGATCCCATTCCTCCTCACTGGAAGGGACTTTCCAAATGGGGTCTCCAACCATGTCCTACAGGTACCTTTGGATTGGCAACAAACCTGTACTTCCCAGGGACAAAGCTCCCAGAAGGAGGGAAAGGCTGCCATCTTTGCTGTTTTGCAATCTTCATTGGTGATACCCCCAGGTAATGGAAAACCCAAGATGACAAGTGACTAGAGTGGGCCAGAAGTATACCACAGCATCCCTATGGAAAAGTGACCAGACTTTTATGTGGCTACCCATTCCCATATCTCCTCACCAAGTTGGTCCTCTAGGTCTGGGCCTCCAGCCACCTGCTGCCAAAGTTATAGAGCCAGCAGCAACTCGGCAACTCCCTGGAGAGAGCCTCCAGGGTTAAATAAAAGCCTCTCTGTTACTGCCTCTGCAGTGGAACTGCCCTTGACACCTTCAGAGTAACAAAGAAACAAAATGCTTGGGTGCCTCATCTACACCTCCAACAAGCTGCAGTCAACCCAAGGAGAGGAGGTCAGTCTGTCTCCCAAGAGTCCCACATACTCCCCACTGCTCATCACTAGACAGAGAACTCTTGTCTTTGGCTCACAGCACAGACACTCTATCCTGGGTTGATTGCACTGAGTAATTGCTGACCTGCATCTCTCTGGGGTGCAGGTCAAGCAAATGACCCTCAGCCAAAACCACTGCTAAGATCGTTTCCTCTGCTGCCTCCAAGTTGGGGAAGAAACATAAACACTGAGATTGCTCATAAACACTGAGATTGCTCCAAAGCTGCCACGGGAATCCCAGGAGTGCCAAGTCACAACGTACAGCCAGCACTCAAGGGGGAGAGGAACCTATGCTTTCAGAATACTGAGAGGGAACATTGCTGCAACTGTTGGGAAACATAGATGTATTAGTCCATTCTCATGCAGCTATGAAAAAATATCCTAAACTGGGTAATTTACAAAGAAAAAAGGGTTAATTGACTCATAGTTCCTTATGGCTTGGGAGGCCTCAGGAAGCTTACAATTATGATAGAAGGCACCTCTTCACAGGGCATCAGGAGAGATAATGAGAGCTGAGAAAAGTGGAGGAGCCCCTCATAAAGCCACCAGGTCTCATGAGAACTCAGTATCACAAGAAAAGCATGGAGGAAACTGCCCCCATGCTTCAATTATCTCCACCTACTACCACACTTGCCACATGGAGATCAGTATAATTTAAGGTGAGATTTGGGTAGGGACACAGAGCCAAACCATATCACTAGCGGAGTCACAAAACCGAGCAAGAGTCTTAACAACTAACCAAAGATCCTAAATGCCATCTGCTAGATCACATCCCAAAGCTTCAACACCAAAATTACCTCACTAACATAACCCCCTCTGAAAATAGAGACAAGACGTCAGCTTCAAATGGAGACCCTGCACAAAGCCTCAGCCTTTTGAAAACATTCAGAAAAGTAGTTTATTGACTGTACTTAATCTATACTGCAGTTAAGGAACACCCACACTCAGAGATGATAAAAATTAATGCAAGAACTTTGTTAACTCAAACAGCCAGAGCATCATATGTCCTCCAAACGACTGCACCAGTTCTCCAACAAGAGTTCTTAACCAAGATTAACTGTCTGGAGTGACAGAAATGTAATTTAGAATATGGATAGGAACAAAGATCATTGAATTTCAGGATGGTGGCAAAACCCAATCCAAGGAAAATAAGAATCATAATAAAGCAATAGAGGAGCTGAAGGACAAAATAGCCCATACAAAAAAGGACCTAATGTGTCAGACAGAACTGAATAACACAATACAATAATTTCACAATGCAATCAAAAGTATTAATAGCAAAATAAACCAAGCTGAGGAAAGAATCTCAGAACTTAAAGACTAGTTCTATCAAATAAGTCAGGCAAAAATGAAGAAAAAAGAATGAAAAGTAATAAATAAATACCTGAGAAGTATGGGATTATGTAAAGAGGCCAAATCTATGAATCATTAGCATCCCTGAAAAGGAGGGGGGAAAGCAAACAACTTGGAAAATATATTTCAGAATATTATCCAAGAAAACTTCCCCAACATTGCTACAGAGGCCAACGGTCAAATTCAGGAAATACAGAGAACTCCTGCAAGATTCTACACAAGAAGATTATTGCAAGACTCATAATTGTCAGATTTTCTCAGGCTGAAAAGTAGAGTAAGAATGTTTAGTAAAGGCAGCTAGAGAGAAAGGGCAGGTCACCTACAAAGTGAACCCCATCAAACTAAGAGTGGACCTCCCAGCTGAACCCCGACATACCAGAAGAGACTGGGGGCTTATATTCAACATTCTCAAAGAAAAAATAAATCAACTGATAATTTTACATCCAGTCATACTAAACTTTCTAAGTGAAGGAGACATAAGATTCTTTTCAGATACGCAAATGATGAGGGAATTAATTACCATCAGACCTACTTTTCAAGAGATCTTAAAAGAAGCACTAAATATAGAAAGGGAAGAAAGACCACTACCAGCTAATATAAAAACACACTTAAACAGAGACATACCAGTGTCACTGTAAAGCAACCACACAAACAAGCTAACATAATAGCCAGCTAACAGCACAATGACAGGAACAAATCCGCACATATCAATACTAACCAGGCTAAATGCCCCATTTAAAAGTTACAGAGTGGCAAGCTGGATAAAAAAGCAAGAACCAAGGCTGTGCTGTTTTCAAGAGACCCATCTCATGGGTAATCACACTCATAGGCTCAAAATAAAGTGATGAAGGAAAATCTACCAAGCAAATGAAAAACAGGAAAAAAAGCAGGGGTTGCAATCCTAATTTCAGACAAAACATATTTCAAACCAACAAAGATAAAAAAATGCAAAGAAGGACATTACCTAATGGTAAAGAGTTCAATTCAACAAGAAGACCTAATTACCCTAAATATATATGTACCCAACACAGGAGTGCTCATAGTCATGAAGCTTGCACTTAGAGACTTACAAAGAGACATACGCTACCAAATAATAATAGTGGGAGACTTCAACACTCCACTAAGTATCCAAAACAGTGTGGTACTGGTACAAAAACAGGCACATAGAACAATGGAACAGAATAGAGGGCCCAGAAATAAAGCTGCACATCTACAACTGTCCGATCTTCAACAAAGATGACAAAAAGAAGCCATGGGGAAAACACTCCCTATTCATTACATGTTCTGGGGTAACTGGCTAGCCATTTGTGAAAGATTAAAGCTAGACCCCTTCCTTATACCTTATGCAAAAATCAACTCAAGATGGATTAAAAACTTAAATGTAAAACCCAAACCTATGAAAACCCTAGAATACAACCTAGACAATAGCATCCTGCACATAGAAACAGGCAACGATTTCATGACAAAGGCCCCTAAATTAATCTCAGCAAAAGCAAAAATTGACAAGTGGGATCTAATTAAACTTAAGAGATTCTTCACAGTAAAAGGACTTACCAACAGAATAAACAACCTACAGATTGGGAAAAAAATCTTTTTGCAAACTATGTATATGACAAAGGTTTAATATCCAGTATCTATAAGGAACTTAAAAAAATTTACAAGAGAAAACCAACCAACCCCATTAAAAGTGGACAGAGGACACGAACAGATGCTTCGCAAAAGAAGACATACATGTGGCCAAAAAGCATATGAAAAATATTTCAACATCACTGATAATTAGAAAAATGAAAATCAAAACCACAATGAGATAACACCTCACACTGGCAAGAATGGCTATTATTAAAAGTAAAAAAATTATAGATTCTGGCAAATCTGTAGAGAAGTGGGAACACTTATACACTACTGGTGCAAGTGTAAATAATTTCAACCCTTGTGTAATGTAGTATGGTGATTCCTGAAAGAGCTAAAAGCAAAATACCATTCAACCCAGCAATCTCATTTCTGGGTATATTTCCAGAGAAATAGAAATCATTCTATCATAAAGACACATGCACATGAATGTTTACTGCAGCACTGTTCACAATAGCAAAGACATGGAATCAACCTAAATGTCCATCAGTTATAGACTGGATAAAGAAAATATGGTACATACACATCATGGAATACCATGCAGCCATTAAAAAGCCACAATGTTGTCTTTTGCAGGAACACGGATAGAATTGAAAGCTATCATCCTTAGCAAACTAATTCAGGAACAGAAAACCAAATGCCTCATGTTCTCACTTATAAGTGGGAGTGAAATGATAAGAAGTTATGAACAGAAAGAAGGAAACAACAGATACTGGTGTCTACTTGAGGGTAGAGGGTGGGAGGAGGGAGGAGGAGCAGAAAGGATAACTATTGGGTACTGGGCTTAATACTGGGTGATGAAATAATATGTACAACAAACCCCCATGACACATGTTTACCTATGTGACAAATCTTCACATGTGCCCCCAAACCTAGGATGAAAGTTAAAAAAAAAAAGAATTTTTTTTAATGAAGACAAATACTGAAAATTTAAATTAAATGAGTACTTTTAATTTCTAATTGGTAGTTGAGTTCACTGGAAGCAAATGCTATGCAGAAAATAAAACCTAAATAACATAAGTGAGAGAAGCTTACTGCCTTTAATGTTCAAACATACTTTTAAATGAATTGTCAATCAGCCTAGGCTAGGTTATGTTGCATTAAAAGCAATCTTGGCTGGGCATGATGACTCATGCCTGTAATACCAGGACTTTGGGAGGCTGAGGCGGGTGGATGACTTGAGGTCAGGAGTTTGAGACCAGCCTGGTCAACATGGTGAAATCCCATCTCTACTAAAAGTACAAAAATTAGCTGGGCATGGTGGCAGGCACCTGTAATCCCAGCTTCTCGGGAGGCTGAGGCAGGAGAGTCGCTTGAAACTGGGAGGTGGTGGTTGTAGTGACCCGACAATCCTGCCACTGCATTCCAGCCTGGGTGACAGAGTAAGACTTTGTCTCAAAAAAATAAATATTGAAAAAAAATAAAAAATATATACAAAAACATAATCTCAAACATTTCAGTAGTTTACAACATCAGATAATTATGTTACGTTGCAAGTCAGCAGAAGAAGTCTCTCTAGAACAAAGCGCCCCTGCAGCAGAGAGATAAAGAGCAATAGTGGGACTACCAATGGCTCTGAGTTTCTGCTCAACAGCATCACCTATCTTGTCCACTCCCACTTCATGGTCAAAGCAAATTACATGATCAAGCCCAATATGAGATGTGTGGGTAAAAAATAATCTTGTGGGGGGTAAAGGGAGCAATTAAATAACTGAAAATATCATGTCAGTCAACTACATATTAATTACAAAAACTTCATCACCCAACTAGAAAAATATGCAAAGTATGTAAATATGAGTTTCACAAAAGAGAGCATTCAAATGACCAAAATAATGTGAAAGGTGGTTCAAAATATAATAAGATATATTTTTTCAATTATCACTTTGTGAAAGTTTAAAGTGTTTAACCATAGTCAAATGTTGAGATATCATGGAAAGTCTTTATGATCTATTCATTGGAATGTTATCAGAAATAAATAATTTGTTGGGGGAGTTATTTTGGAAATTATTCTCGAAATATAAAATATAATTTGATCTAGTAATAGGACCTTGAAGAGTTAATAAAATAATTACAAAAATGTAAAGAGATACATGAACTGTATTTTATTACTGTTTACTGTAGACAAAAATTAGAAATATAAAAAGTCTGTCAATGAGAGTCAGATTAAACAGTTTACACATAAAATGCAATCTTTACTATGTAGACATTTAAATTGAGAAAGAATTTATTTCTCTCCGCAATCCACCTATCTCCATATTATACTTTTGTATAATAAAACTTTTAAACAGCACAGATGTCATGTGTTTATATGTGCGCCATTACATTTATTTTTTACTTACATTAATTTATCCGGAGGTATATTGCAAGGAATGTTGCCAACAAATCTAACTTGAATGTTTTTAAGATCCTGGTAATTTGAATAATTTGTTAGAGTATTTGTTTTAAAATAAACAAGTCCCATCTTTACTCTCTGAATAAAGTAATATGTACGTTCTCTTTTTTAAAAAATTAGGCTCTTATAGAACATAGCATCAGCTCCAGTCACTACTTTCTTCAATGAACTGAGTTAGATGTACACTCAAGAATACGTGGCTGAGCTATCTATAATTGCCAGGGATATTAGCACCACTTTTGTAGGTCTCTTCCAGCCTCTGAAATTGGAGATAATTGTCAATGATTAGGTGGAGCACCTAAACCCGTGTTATGTTTATTAATATTTCATCATTAATTTATGGTGTTTCAAAGAATCAGACCATGTTTGTCTGATGTAGCTTTGATAATGCTGTTTTCCCATCTGATATGAAGCATTGGTCCTTCTTGGTGGGCAAATGATGCAAAAGGCCCACGGTCCAGATGGACTGCAAGGAAGAGTCCAAAAACTTTTGTTCAAGAGAGTTATCTTCTACAGTTCTAGCAAAGATGAAGAAATCACTGGTGCCTACCTTGGGGAGACTATTACAAATGCTCTTGTCATAATGTTAGCTTACTATAATTGTCAACATCAAACTTCCAGATGCTAGACCTATTGTCGGTCTCAGTATTCTGAGAATTATCAAAAAGTCATTGACTGTTGCTGTTGTTTATGGTTTTAAACAAGACGTTGGTGGTAAAATAAATAGGTCAAACTAATTTACACTCACAGCAACAATGTATAAGCATTTCTATTTCTCCACAACATTACCAGCAACTGTTAGGACTTTTTAATAATAGCCATTCTCTCTGGTATTTGATGGTATCTCATTGTGGTTTTGATTTGCATTTCTCTGATGATCAGTGGTGTTGAGCTATTTTTCATATGCTTGTTGGCCACATGTATGCCTTTTGTTTGAAAAGTGTCTGTTCATATTCTTTGCCCACTTTTTATGGGGTTGTTTGTTTCTTTTCTTGTAAATTTGTTTAAGTTCCTTGGAGACACTGAATATTAGACCTTTTGTGGATGCATAGTTTTGAAAAGTTTTCTCCCATTCTGTAGGTTGTCTGTTTATCTGTTGATAATTTCTTTTGCTGTGCAGACAGTGTTTAGTTTAATTAGATTCCATTTGTCAATTTTTGCTTTTGTTGCAATTGCTCAACCTAAAGACAGAAATTCCATTCAGGTCAGTGATTCCATTACTGGGTATATACCCAAAGGAATATAAATCATTATATTATAAAGATACGTGAATATGTCTGTTCATTGCAGCAGTATTCACAATAGCAAAGACATGGAATCAAACTAAATGTTCATCAGTAGTAGACTGTATAAAGAAAATATGGTAAATATACACCATGGAATACCATACAGCCATAAAATACCAAGACCATTTCCTTTGAAAGGACATGGATGTAGCGGAAGGCCATTATCCTTAGCAAACTAACACAGGAACAGAAAACCAAATACTGCATGTTCTCATCATGTAGCTAAATGATGAGAACACATGGACACATAGAGGCGACCAACACACACTGGGACCTTTCAGAAGGTGGAGGGCAGGAGGAGAGAGAGGATGAGGAAAAATAACTAATGGGTATTAGGCTTAATACCTGGGTGATAAAATAATCTGTACAACAAACCCTTGTGACACACATTTACCTATGTTACACATCTGCTCTTGCATCCCTGAACTTAAAATAAAAATAAAATGATTATATCATAAAAAATAGGTTCATCTTT
This sequence comes from Homo sapiens, assembly GCF_000001405.40. Classification (NCBI taxonomy): domain Eukaryota; kingdom Metazoa; phylum Chordata; class Mammalia; order Primates; family Hominidae; genus Homo; species Homo sapiens. Next base: position 30,989,466 of record NC_000009.12, read on the forward strand.
AACTTAAAAAGTGTTGTTTTTTTTTTAATGTGTAAGTCCTCACTATTGAGTATTAATACTTTTGGTCAAATCTAAAGACTAACACTTAGTAAGAGAAGATTTTCACAGACAAAAGGTCTAACATTTTGTTTCTTATTTCAAGTCCAAGTATAAGAAAGACATCAATGAGAACAAGAGAATTAACTCTCATGTCTGTTCTACTTGTAAATATGCTGAATGTACTTTCTGTTCAAAACTCAGGTCAATATTGATACTGATTTTCTTTAAGATGAGGCTGACTCCTATACCTCCATCATCTGTTCCAGTTCAAACAAGGAAATGCTCATCTGTATTGTAGCCTTCTGAATCTTTGGAGAAAGCCCTTCCCTATGCAAAGCTAGACAAGTCACAGATGAGTGTCCCCATCCTGATGGATGATTATGCGTATAACCTGAATATTCACAAATTTTTACAGGACTTGTTCAATGTAGAAAATTTGACAGGAACATCTGCCCCTGTGAGGCTGTTGTCTGTGGTGCAGCTGTTCAGGCAGGAATCTCATCTGGGTACAAATCTGACAATGTTCAACATGTGCTGCTCTTGTATATCAGCAATTTTTCCATTGGTCTTGAACTCAAAATGGTTCATATTGAACACAATATCAGCATGCCCAAAAAACAGACACAGGCCTTCACTGCTTACTCAGATAACCAGTTTAATATGCTCATTCTAGTTTGTGAAGGTAGATGTTCCATAGCAACCTGCTTGGGAAGTTGTAACACACAGGCATACTACTGTATCCATGGTGAGTCTCAAATCAAAGTGACAAGGGCCGTTTGCTCAAAGATGACAATGAGTGTTCAATTTAAGAGGCTAAGAAACACAAAGTTGAAATGAGAAGAAGAGACAAGGTGTTCTAAGAGTTCTGTTAAATCCCACAACTTGAACAGGAAAGCCATAGTTGAAGGTAAGACATAGCAACGCAGTGTCAAAGATGAGGACAAACATTCTTGACAAATGTAATGAAATCATGAACAAGTTTGTTGAGAATAACATTGCAAGGAAAGATAAATTTGGATATCAGCAAAAAGAGATGGAGAAAGTCTGCAACCTCAGCATTGTCAAGCTGTAGCAGAGTATAGAAACATACCAGAAATACTAAAACAATAATGACAACACAACAGAAAACAGCAAAAGAAAACTAACATATACAACAATTCACATTTAACAATCATAGTTCAAACTGTAAGTCATGATTGCTAAATTAAAAAAAAAATCACCACTTTCCAAACGTACAGGGAATTGGTTAACATGGCTATTTGCTGTTACCTGTTTATAAGTTCCACAGTGAAAAATAAAGAACATATAGAGGAAGAAGACACAAACAAAAATAAATCAAGAAAAGGAGTAAAAAGATCGTTTAAATAATTACCATAATTTCTATTTTTCTATTAGTAATTTCCCCTTTTTAAACCCAACTTAGCTAATTGGTACCAAAAAAATAAAGTGAGTATTTATTATCTTTTTAATGTGGCATTTAGCTTACTAGATTTTCTTATTTCCCAGTACTAGTTTTTTTGATAAATAAATTAAATATAAGATATCATAAATTTAAAAACACAGAATATACTTACATGCATTTATCTCGTTTCTGGGTATGTTAATTCTGGGCATATTAGAAAACCAGGAACTGGGAAAATATGAAAATCAAATACTTGGCACTGGATACACACAATCTATCTGAAAATGGAATTTTAATTTGTTGTATTTTGAGATGTAAAATTTATCTCCTTTGTTGCCTTTGTCAGAAGGATTAATAAATAATGGTTTAATGGTAAGAAGGTTTTAGCAGTAAAGAAATTATGAGCTCTCTGTAGCTGAACTACAGCCAGACTATTTCTTATCCATTTTGGGTACTCATATTGGTTTCATCTGCTATAAGTACAAAAACAGAAGATTTATATGCACTGTTTTATTTACATATAACTCAAATATATGTTTATAAGCATATTTTAATTGGACAGAAACTGTACTACTAAAAGAGAATGTATATCAACACTATATATACTAGATATCAATTTAACACAAAGCATCAAAATAGATTAAAAGTTACTTTTTACCATATATCGAAAAGTTTTGTTCCACATATTAACCTAGATACAATTTTTCTTGAAAAACTCAAGTTGCATTTAAGTAGATAATCATAAGTTAGAAAGATTAAAGGGAGAGGAAGACCAATTAGTTAAAAAAGATATATTAGTGAAAAATAAATATAAGGTAGAGTAAAATATAAAAAACACAGACATCTGTAATGTTAAGATTTAAGATTAAAGGAGGTTACCCTTGGCCATTTAATAATGATCCATTCCATGAAACAAGAAGTCATGACAGAAATATCAATATTAATAGCTAAAATTTATTGAGTAGTTAAAACTTTCAGGCAGTATGCTCTCCATTCTATAGTTTTTATGTCATTTCTCTCACACACACACACTCATGAGAGAGCACTATGGTGTTTTTCTATGTTGCATATATAAATCATAATCCTCACACTTAAGGGACTCTCCCCTATTTTCTTGCCAAGCTTGAACTCCGGGAATTTTTCATGAGGCTGAGGATTTTACATTCTTGCTGATGCACACAGTCATTACTACCCAGGTCTGGTCATCTGCCTTTTGCACTGTCAAGAACCAGAAAAACAGTTCCTGTTGCTCCAATTGGTTCCTCATAGATAATCCGCTTTTTCTTTTTTTCCATCTTTGTGAGGAATATCCACATTTCTTTCTCTCCTACAGCTTTTCTCTGTCCCACAAAATAGTTTGTTTTCTTTTCTTTCTTCATAGTAGGTGGTCATGGCCTGTGTGCAGTGGGAAGATATTAGCATCCAACAATTTAGGGAGCAAAGAGAGGTTTGGTGTTCATTTAAAAACAAAAATGAAGATCTCTTCCAAAAGGAAAATAAATAAATAATATAATGAAAACAAAAAAGAAAACCTCTCAAACAATGCAATGTTCACATAGTTATCACACACAATCCGTGTTAGTTTGACACCAGAGCCAGAGTTCTTAATCACAGCAAACTGGATCTGGTATACATGTGTGTTACACCACAGACATAGAAAATAGACTGTCTAGATTCAGTTACCAGCTTTACCACATGCTTGCTCTATGGCTCTGCAAAAATTACTATGTCTCGACTTTCTTGTAAAAGGTTGATAATTATTTATAGTTATTTATTTGTTTGTTTGCTTTTTTATAGAGTCCGGGTCTCCATTCTGTCACCCAAGCTTGAGTGCAGTGCTGCAATCATAGCTCACTGCAGTCTCAAACTCCTGGGTTAAAGTGATCTTCCCACCTCAACCTTCCAAATAGCTGGGACTGCAGGCATGTGCCACCATGCCTGTTTTGTTTTGTTTGTTTTGTTTTGTTTTTGAGATGGAGTTTCACTCTTGTTGCCCAGGCTGGAGTGCAGTGGCGTGATCTTGGCTCACTGTAACCTCCGCCTCCCGGGTTCAAGCTATTCTCCTGCTTCAGCCTCCCAAGTAGCTGGGATTACAGGTGTCTGCCACCATGCTCAGCTAATTTTTTGTATTTTTAGTAGAGACAGGGTTTCACTATGTTGGCCAGGATGGTCTCGAACTCCTGACCTCAGGTGATTCACCTGCCTCGGCCTCCCAAAGTGCTGGGATTACAGGCGTGAACCACTGCACCCAGGCGGTTGTTTTTTTTTTTAATATTTTTTTCTTAGAGAGGGGGTCTCACTCTGTTGCTCAGTCTGCTCTCAAACTCCTGACCTCAAGTGATCCTTCTGCCTCAGCCTCCTGAATCACTGGGATTACAGGTGTGAGCCACCACACCCAGCGATAATTACTTTATTAATAGTACTTGTCTTCTTGGTTTGTTGTAATTATTAAATGAGATGATATATATTAAAACCATGCAGCAGGACCTGGTACAAAGTCAGTGCTCTAAAAAAGTTAATCTGTTGTTCTGGGGACAATATACATTTGCCCTGATTCTGTGCCTTCCCTCTTTCATGCTGATTTTGACCACTCACCTACCCTGACTTAAACGTCTGTGTTTGTCAGACTTTGCTTTGGGTAGGCAACACCAGAGAGTAGAGGCAGTACAGGTTTTGGAGAGCATTTGAAATCTGTGATTTTGGATGAGATGCTTACTCATTCATCATTACATTCTTCATCGGTCAAACTGAAAATTAGAATACTTAATAGTGTCTCTGTTGAGAATAATTGAGCCAAAAGAGTTAAGAACTTAGTTTTCAATACTATTACTACTACTGTTGCTAGTTATATTAACAATACAATAGCAACAGCAGCCACAATTTGGTGAGCACTATATATGTTCCATATCTTTTTGAGTAATTTTATAAAAACATTTTATTTTATCCTACAATTGATTTGGGAGGTTATTAATATTGACATTTTAAAATAAAATTGCTGAGCCTCAAAGAGTTGTTCTGATGTTTAAGTGACCTGTCCTAAGGACTACTTACCAGGATACAAAATCAACATGCAAAAAATCAGTAGGGTTTCTAAACATTAACAATGTATTATCTGAAAAAGAAATTAAGTAGACAATCTCCCTTTACAACAGCATCAAAAATAACAAAACATTTAGAAATAAAGTTTACCAAGAGTTGAAAAATCAGTATATTAAAAACTATAAGATATAGGTGAAAGAAATTGGAAAAAAGATATTAGCAAATGAAATGATATCCCATATTCTTGAATTGGAAGAATTAATACAGTTAAAACATTCATACCATCCAAAATGATCTACAGATTAAGCGCAACTCTATCAAAATTCCAACATTTTTCACTGAAAGGGGGAAAAATGATTCTAAAATTATTGCAGCACCACATAAGATCCTGAATAGCCAAAGCAATCTTAATAAAAAAAATTTAAAAATTAAAAAGCTGGAGTCACCACATTCCCTGATTTCAAACTATATTGCAAAGTTATAGTAATCAAAAAAGTATGCTATTAGCATAAAAACAGATATATAGACTAATGGAACAGAATAGAGAGCCAACACAAATCTGGTCAATTCATCTGTGACAATTCATCTGTGTATTCCCCAAAATACACAATGGGGAGAAAATAGTCTCTTAAATAAATGCTGAAGGGAAAACTGGATATCCACAAGCAAAAGAATGAAATTGGACCTTAATTTACATAATACTGACAATGATTTTTTGGACATGACTCCAAAAGCATAGGCAATAAAAGCCAAAATAGACAAGTAGGACTACATCGAACAAAATCTTCTCCACAGTAAAGGAAATAATCAATAAAATGAAAATGCAAATTACAGAATGGTGGAAAATGTTTGCAAATCATAGATGTGATAATAAAGGGTTAATGTCTAAAATATATAAGTAACTCATACAAGTCAAGGAATAACCCAGTTTAAAAATGAGCAAAGTACCTGAATAGACATTTCTTCAAAGAAACCATACAAATGGCCCACAGGTATATGAAAAGATGTTTAACATAACTAATCAGGAAAACACAAGTCAAAGCTACAATGAGCTGTCAGCTCATAACTGTTAGTGTGACGACTGTCAAAAAATACGAGAGATAATAAGTGTTGAACTAACTTGTGGAGAAAAGGGAACCCTTGTACACTGCTAATAGGAAGGTACATTGGTATATCCGATATGAAAAACAATATCAATTTTCCTCAAACAAAATATATTTTCAAAATCTACTTAGTTCTACTCAGATTTGTGCAATGCTGATTTTTGCATGTTATATTCCATTTTATAATTTGATTAGATGTTTAACTTTCCTGTTTATAAACACAGCTATGTCTGTCCCCATACTAATGTTAACTTCATTTCATTTCAACCTGTTTTACCAATCACATGAAGGGGGGTGATGATTTAACAAAGGTCCACAAGAATTGTTGATATTATCACAGATGATGAATACCATTCAAATGAGGGTGAATGAGCTTGCTCTTTCCAAGAAATGCAGTCTTTTATTATTTAAAATATTATTTTTAAGTAAATTTTCATTTATTATTTATTTGAGTGAGGATTCTGGGCAATGACAGCTGTTGCTTATATAGACCTTATAATAAAGGAATTCTCACACATCTCCCTTAACTGAAAGGGTTGGAATTTTTAATCCATGCACCCTGTAAAACTAATGCTTGTATGAAAAATGTGATTTAATTCTGGCAATGTTAATGCCTAGTTCAGGAGTATGTGTAGTTTATTTGAGCTGCAATCTCAAAAAGGCCCTAGGTGACCATGAGTGTGAACACATTCAAAACAAATTACCAATTTTTCAAACTGCTATATCCAGAAGGGCCAGATAAACAGGAAGTAATAAGTGTTTTCTTCACAAAGAAATTACTTAATTCATTAAGTCAGGAAGTACTAGAAAGACTGGGGAACCAGAAGCTTGAGGTCTATTAAACATTATGTTTCTGAATAAATCACTTATCAGCTCTATGTTTCAAAGAACTAGGGTTGGTTTTATTTGACACTCCAATTGCCCATGGGTGCTTGGTGAGAATGAATGAGATAGGATGAAAGACTGGTTTTGAATTTCTTGAAATAAATGTCCCATACATATTTTAGGAACTATTTCGAGAGATGGATTTCAGAAACTAGGATCTTAAATTGTTGGCTTTGTGACGTGCTGCAGCATAATGTCTTGGATTCTTCCCTTTGCCTTGGGGCAGCATTGCCCAATATTTTTTCAGGCTGTGACATAGTTATGAACTTCTGGGGGCACATTGTAAAAACAAATAGAACTTCTCAGTTACAGCTGCTTTGTCATTAAGGGAAATGGTATTTATAGACCCTCTACTACGTAAGAGCAATCACGTAAAAGTTGTTACATATATAATTACATTTAATATTTTCAACAATTCTATGGCATTATTTTGGAACAAATCAGAGAATATTTTTATAATCAAGCTGAATTTCACCTTTCCAATTATGTTATATTTATAAAAATATATTGTTTTATAATTGACTATTAAGGCTAAGTATACTTTGTTGGCTATCACAGTAATTCCTAAGTGTTTTCTCCCTTCACCCCTCAATGACTCATTTGTGTTCCCTGTCAAAGAGGCCAGTCTTCCCAGATTGAAAAATGTTCTTTAGTCAATATTTGTTTACAGTAAAGAATTGGCTAGAACTTCCAAACAAGGTCTCAAGGTCCATTTCTAAGAAACATATTAAATTTTGGTTTTCATATTTCCCAAACTTCTGGTTATCCCGAAGCTATTCTGTGCTTCAAATTAAATTATATATGTAAATTTGCATGATAACATTTAAAATATGATACAAGTATAACACCATGAACCGTCTTATGATCACAAATAACAGAGGGAAAGTGAGTTAGGGAGGAAACAAAACAACAAAATATGAGTGAAAGAGCAAAATTGTACATATTAATACATATGTAGATAAAGGAGTATTGCTTAGCAAATCTGACCACAGTTTTACAGTCAAGGTCATCAGTCAGCCTAGCTCTGTTATTTACAGAATCAAGGTCATAGACTTGAGCAACTTTACATGCTACTAAACTTGCTGTTCACAGACAAATCCAAAATGACCTGCTGATGAATTAATATTCATGAAAGCTGAGGAAGTCACAGTTTTTCATAGTTTGTTTTAACATCATTAGAGTTTACATTCCCATTCCAAACTTGCAAATAATAAGCAAGTAATATGGGACATCAAGAAAGCTTTAAGTTGTACATCAGAAGATCTCCTATACTTTAAAAGCTGATTAGGTTTTGGTCAGATGGTTGCTCACTGCTCTTTGCTTGATAAAACTAGCTACAGTCTATACAAAGCCTTAATAGGCATATTCTCTGTTTTAGTGTTTACCAATTTATTTTTAAAAAATAATGTTTATTGAACAGCCACAGCATGAACATGACATTTATTAAATAATTATTATGTTCAATGTGCTATCCTAGCAAGGTAGAAAACAGGTGGTGTTGAATAATCATTACCCAATCTAGGACTTAGTTGGTCAGGGGTATTGTGCTTAGTCACTACTAAGCATAATCCTTATAACACTTTCCTGAAGCAGGTGTTAGTGTTTCACCTTACAGATGAGGGAACTATAGTACCAAGATTTATGTGTCTTGCCTAAGAACCGCGTATATTTAATGTGTACAATTTGATTAGTTTGGACATGTGCAAACAACTGTGATACCATCACCATAATCAAGGTAATACATACTGAACAGCTCCCAAAGTTTTGCATCTGTTTCAAAATTTTTACTTAGTATGTTTTTTGTGTGGTAAGAACATTTATCATGAGGTCTACTTGCCTAACACATTTTGATGTGTACAATACAGTATTGTTAACTATAGGCATTATATTGTACATTATATCTCTAGAACTTATTCATCTAGCATGAATGAAACTTATTATCAATTGAAGAATGGCTTCTCATCCTTCCCGTCCGCCAGGACTCAAAACCAGTATCGTATTCTCTGTCTCAACAACATTGACTACTACAGATGCTTCACATAAGAGGAATCAAGCAGTATCTGTCATTCTGTGACTGGTCTATTTTATTCAGCCCTGTCTTACATTATAACAAAATCAACTCAAAATGGATTAAACACTCAAATGTAAGACCTGAAACTGTAAAATTCCTGGTGAAAACATGAAGGAAAATCATCTTGCATTGGCCATGGCAATGATTTCTTGCCTATGACAGCAAAAGCACAGGCAACAAAAGAAAAAATAAACAAGAGACACTACATCATACTAAAACACATCTCTACAGCAAGAGAAACAATCAACAGAATGAAAAGACGACCTACTGAATGACAGAAAATATTTGCGAGCCATTTATATGATAATAATTTAGTTTCAAAAATATATATGGAACTCCTATGACTTAATTGAAAAAGCAAACAAACAAGGAAACAAGTAACATGGGCAAACGACTTGAACAGGGATTTTACCAAAGAAAACTTACAAAACATACAAATGGTATATGAAGAGACGCTCAACATAACTAATCATCAGGGAAATGCAAATCAAAATCACAATGAGACATCACCTCACACCTGTTAGAATGCCTATTATAAAAACAAAAACAAAAAATTAACAAATCAACAAAATAAAAGAAAAAATAGCATATGCTGGCAAGGATGCGGAGAAATTGGAATCGGTGTACACTGTTGCTGGGAAAGAAAAATGGTGCACCTGCTATAGAAAACATTACAGAACTTTCTCAAAAAATTAAAATTAGAACAATCTTATGATCTAGCAATCCCACTTCTTAGTATATATGCAAAAGAATTAAAATCAGGGCCCTAAAGTGATATCTGCATTCTCATATTTATTGCGGCATTATTTAACAGCAAAAATTGGGATATAACCTAAGTGTCTGTCTACAGATGATTATATCAAGAAAAAAGTGATGTATACATGTGATGAAATATTATTGAGCCTTCAAAAAGAAGGAACCCCTGACATTTTCTTTTTTTTTTTAATACTTTAAGTTTTAGGGTACATGTGCACAATGTGCAGGTTTTTTACATATGTATACATGTGCCATGTTGGTGTGCTGCACCCATTAACTCGTCATTTAGCATTAGGTATATCTCCTAATGCTATCCCTCCCCACTACCCCCACCCCACAACAGGCCTTGGTGTGTGATGTTCCCCTTCCTGTGTCCATGTGTTCTCATTGTTCAATTCCCACCTATGAGTGAGAGCATGCAGTGTTTGATTTTTTGTCCTTGTGATAGTTTGCTGAGAATGATGGTTTCCAGCTTCATCCATGTCCCTGCAAAGGACATGAACTCATCATTTTTTATGACTGCATAGTATTCCACGGTGGATATATGCCACATTTTCTTAATCCAGTCTATCATTGTTGGACATTTGGCTTGGTTCCAAGTCTTTGCTATTGTGAATGGTTCCACAATAAACATACAAGTGCATGTGTCTTTATAGCAGCATGATTTATAGTCCTTTGGGTATATACCCAGTAATGGGATGGCTGGGTCAAATGGTATTTCTAGTTGTAGATCCCTGAGGAATGGCCACACTGACTTCCACAATGGTTGAACTAGTTTACAGTCCCACCAACAGTATAAAAGTGTTCCTGTTTCTCCACATCCTCTCCAGCACCTGTTGTTTCCTGACTTTTTAATGATCGCCATTCTAACTGGTGTGAGACGGTATCTCATTGTGGTTTTGATTCGCATTGCTCTGATGGCCAGTGATGATGAGCATTTTTTCATGTGTCCTTTGGCTGCATAAATGTCTTCTTTTGAGAAGTGTCTGTTCATATCCTTTGCCCACTTGTTGATGGGGTTGTTTGTTTTTTTCTTGTAAATTTCTTTGAGTTCATTGTAGATTCTGGGTATTAGCCCTTTGTCAGATGGGTAGATTGCGAAAATTTTCTCGCATTCTGTAGGTTGCCTGTTCACTCTGATGGTAGTTTCTTTTGCTGGGCAGAAGCTCTTTAGTTTAATTAGATCCCATTTGTCAATTTTGGCTTTTGTTGCCATTGCTTTTGGTGTTTTAGACATGAAGTCCTTGCCCATGCCTAAGTCCTGAATGGTAATGCCTAGGTTTTCTTCTAGGGTTTTTATGGTTTTAGGTCTACATTTAAGTCTTTAATCCATCTTGAATTAATTTTTGTATAAAGTGTAAGGAAGGGATCCAGTTTCAGCTTTCTACATATGGTTAGCCAGTTTTCCCAGCACCATTTATTAAATCGGGAATCCTTTCCCCATTTCTTGTTTTTGTCAGATTTGTCAAAGATCAGATGGCTGTAGATAGGTGGTATTATTTCTGAGGGCTCTGTTCTGTTCCATTGGTCTATATCTCTGTTTTGGTACTAGTACCATGCTGTTTTGGTTACTGTAGCCTTGTAGTATAGTTTGAAGTCAGGTAGTGTGATGCCTCCAGCTTTGTTCTTTCAGCTTAGGATTGACTTGGCAATGCGGGCCTTTTTTTTGGTTCCATATGAACTTTAAAGTAGTTTTTTTCCAATTCTGTGAAGAAAGTCATTGGTAGCTTGATAGGGATGGTATTGAATCTATAAATTACCTTGGGCAGTATGGCCATTTTCACAATATTGATTCTTCCTACCCATGAGCACGGAACGTTCTTCCAATTGTTCGTATCCTCTTTTATTTCATTGAGCAGTGGTTTGTAGTACTCCTTGAAAAGGTCCTTTGTGTCCCTTGTAAGTCGGATTCCTAGGTATTTTATTCTCCTTGAAGCAATTGTGAATGGGAGTTCACTCATGATTTGGTTCTCTATTTGTCTGTTATTGTTGTAAAAAAATGCTTGTGATTGTTGCACACTGATTCTGTATCCTGAGACTTTGCCGAATTTGCCTATCAGCTTAAAGAGATTTTGGGCTGAGAAAATGGGGGTTTTCTAGATAAACAGTCATGTCATCTGCAAACAAGGACGATTTGAATTCTTCTTTTCCTCATTGAATACCCTTTATTTCCTTCTCTTGCCTAATTGCCCTGGCCAGAACTTCCAACACTATGTTGAATAGGAGTGGTGAGAGAGGGCATCCCTGTCTTGTGCCAGTTTTCAAAGGGAATGCTTTCAGTTTTTGCCCATTCAGTATGATATTGGCTGTGGGTTTGTCATAGATAGCTGTTATTATTTTGAGATATGTCGCATCAATACCTAATTTATTGAGAGCTTTTAGCATGAAGGACTGTTGAATTTTGTCAAAGGCCTTTTCTGCATCTATTGAGATAATCATGTGGTTTTTGTCTTTGGTTCTGTTTATATGCTGGATTACATTTATTGATTTGCACATGTTTATATGTTTATATGCATATACTGTTTATATGCTGGATTACATTTATTGATTTGCACATGTTGATCATGGTGGATAAGCTTTTTGATGTGTTGCTGGATTCGGTTTGCCAGTATTTTATTGAGGATTTTTACATTGATGTTCATCAGGGATATTGGTCTAAAATTCTCTTTTTTTGTTGTGTCTCTGCCAGGCTTTGGTATCAGGAAGATGCTGGCCTCATAAAATGAGTTAGGGAGGATTCCTTCTTTTTCTATTCATTGGAATAGTTTCAGAAGGAATGGTACCAGCTCCTCCTCATACCTCTGGTAGAATTCAGCTGTGAATCCATCTGGTCCTGGACTTTTTTTGGTTGGTAATCTATTAATTATCGCCTCAATTTCAGAGCCTGTTATTGGTCTATTCAGAGATTCAACTTCTTCCTGGTTTAGTCTTGGGAGAGTATATGTGTTGACGAATTTTTCCATATCTTCTAGATTTTCTAGTTTATTTGCGTAGAGGTGTTTATAGTAGTCTCTGATGGTAGTTTGTATTTCTGTGGGATCAGTGGTGATATCCCCTTTATCATTTTTTATTGCATCTATTTGATTCTTCTCTCTTTTCTTCTTTATGAGTCTTTCCAGCGGTCTATCAATTTTGTTGCTCTTTTAGAAAAACCAGCTCCTGGATTGATCGATTTTTTGAAGGGTTTTTTGTGTCTCTATCTCCTTCAGTTCTGCTCTGATCTTAGTTATTTCTTGCCTTCTGCTAGCTTTTGAATGTGTTTGCTCTTGCTTCACTAGTTCTTTTAATTCTGATGTTAGGGTGTCAATTTTAGATCTTTCCTGCTTTCTCTTGTGGGCATTTAGTTCTATAAATTTCCCTCTACGCACTGCTTTGAATGTGTCCCAGAGATTCTGGTATGTTGTGTCCTTGTTATCGTTGGTTTCAAAGAACATCTTTATTTCTGCCTTCATTTCATTATGTATCCAGTAGTCATTCAGGAGCAGGTTGTTCAGTTTCCATGTAGTTGAGTGGTTTTGAGTGAGTTTCTTAATTCTGAGTTCTAGTTTGATTGCACTGTGGTCTGAGAGACCACACCATTGTCCTCACCAGCTTTGTTCCATTGCTGATGAGGAGCTGTGTTCCTTTGGAGGAGGAGAGGCACTCTGATTTTTAGAGTTTTCAGTTTTCCTGCTCTGTTTTTTCCCCATCTTTGTGGTTTTATCTACCTTTGGTCTTTGATGATGGTGACGTACAGATGGGGTTTTGGTGTGGATGTCCTTTCTGTTTGTTAGTTTTCCTTCTAACAGTCAGGACCCTCAGCTGCAGGTCTGTTGGAGTTTGCTGGAGGTCCACTCCAGACCCTGTTCACCTGGGTATCAGCAGTGGAGGCCACAGAACAGCAGATGTTGGTGAACAGCAAATGTTGCTGCCTGACCGTTCCTCTGGGAGTTTGGTCTCAGAGGAGTACTCAGGCATGTGAGGTGTCAATCTGCCCCTACTGGGGAACCCACTTGAGGAGGCAATCTTTCCATTCTCAGATCTCCACCTGCATGCTGGGAGAACCACTACTCTCTTCAAAGCTGTCAGACAGGGACATTTAAGTCTGCAGAGGTTTCTGCTGCCTTTTGTTTGGCTATGCCCTGCCCCCAGAGGTGGAGTCTACGGAGGCAGGCAGTCCTCCTTGAGCTGCGGTGGGCTCCACCCAGTTTGAGCTTCCTGGCCGCTTTGTTTACCTACTCAAGCCTTAGCAATGGCGGGCGCCTGTCCCGCAGCCTTGCTGCCACCTTGCAGTTTGATCTCAGACTGCTGTGCTAGCAGTGAGTGAGACTCCGTGGGTTTAGGACCCTCTGAGCCATGTGCGGGATATAATCTCCTGGTGTGCTGTTTGCTAAGACCTTTGGAAAGGTGCAGTATTAGGGTGGGAGTGACCTGATTTTCCAGGTGCCGTCTGTCACCCCTTTCTTTGGCTAGGAAAGGGAATTCCCTGACCCCTTGCACTTCCCCGGTGAGGCAATGCCTCGCCCTGCTTCGGCTCATGCTCAGTGCGCTGCACCCACTGTCCTGCACCCACTGTCCGACACTCCCCAGTGAGATGAACCCGATACCTCAGTTGGAAATGCAGAAATCACCCGTCTTCTGCATCGCTCACACTGGGAGCTGTAGACTGGAGCTGTTCCTATTTGGCCATCTTCAGGAACCCCTGACATTTTCAGAAACATGGATAAACTTGCCATTTGTTTAACTTGAATAGTTAAAGCTTGGTTTTTCTTCATACTTTCTTAAGCTAAACTTTCAATTTTGAGATCATTGTAGATTCACATATAGCTGCAAGACATAACACAATAAATCCCATGTACCCTTTACCCATTTTTCCCCAGTGGTAACATCTTGCAAGTCTACAGCACAATATCACAACCATTATATAGATATTAATTTCCATCGCTGAAAGGATTCCTCAGTTTTCACTCATAGCCACATCCACTGCCAGTCTATGCTCACCTCTGAGCAAACCTGGGCACTCACCAATCTGTTCTTTATTTTTATAATTTTGTCACTTCAATAATGTTACGTAAATGGCATGATACAGTATGTAACCTTTTGCAATTGCCTTTTGTCACTCAGCATGAATATCTAGAGTTTCATATGGGTTCTTTCTTTATACTTTATATTGCCACTTTATTGCTGACTAGTATTCCATGGTAAAGAGGAATCACAGTCTCTTCACTATTCATCCACTGAAGGACATTTGAACTGTTTCCAGTTTGGGGCCATTATGATAAAGGTGTTACAAATATCTATATGCAGTTTGCTATAGGAATGGAAGCATTACTTCTATGAGATAAATGCCCAGGACTATGATTGTCAGGTCACATGATAATTATGTTTAGTTTTTTCTTTTTTCATTTTTTTGTTTTTACAAAACTACTGTACTCTATTTCAGCATGACTGTACCTTTTTACATTCAACCAGCAATGTTTGAGTGATCCAGTTTCTCTGCATTCTTATTAGAACATGCTGTTACAATTTATTTATTTTAGCCATTCTGTTCTGTATACATATTAGACATGTTTCTAATTTGCTTAATGCCACTTAAACATAGTCATTGTATAGCAACAGTATTTTTCTCTGAAGATATATCTTATTATATACACTTTTGCATAAACACACATAATATACTAATGTATACTCTTAGAAAGGTTACCTTTTGGGGGGCAGGGCCAAGATGGCTGAATAGGAACAGCTCTGGTCTGCAGCTCCCAGAGAGACCAATGCAGAAGGCAGGTCATTTCTGCATTTCCAACTGAGATACCAAGTTCATCTCATTGAGACTGGTTAGGCATTGGGTGCAACCCATGGAGGGTGAGCAGAAGCAGGGTGAAGTGTTGGTTCACCCAGGAAATGCAAGGAGCTGGAGGACCTCCCTCCCCCTGCCAAGGGAAGCCGTGAGGGACTGCGCTACCAGGCCAGGTTACTATGCTTTTCCCATGGTTTTTGCAATCGGCAAATCAGGGTATTCTCTCATGTGCCTACATAACCATGGCCCTGGCTTTCAAGCACAAACCTGGGCGGCTGTTTAGGCAGACATGGAGCTACGTGAAGGAGTTTTTTTCATACCCCATTGGTGCCTGGAACCCCAGAGAGACAGAACTGTTCACGCCCCTGGAAATAGCTGAGGCCAGGGAGACAAGTGGTCTCACTCAGCAGGTCCTATTCCCATGGAGCCCAGCAAGCTAAGAACCACGCGCTTGAAATTCTCACTACCAGCACAGCAGTCTGAAGTCAACCAGGGATGATCAAGCTTGGTGGGGGAGGGGCGTCCACCATTACTGAGGCTTTAGTAGGCAGATTTCCACAGACAGTGCTAAAGAGATTGGGAGGTCTGGGCTGGGTGCAGCAACCCAGCTGTGGCCAGACTGTTTCGCTAGATTCCTCCTCTATGGGCAGGGCATCATGGAAAGAAAGGTAGCAGCTCCACTCAAGGGCTTACAGACAAAATCCCCATCTCCCTGGGAGAAGAGCACCTGGGGAAAGGGCAGCTGTGGTCATAGCTTCAGCAGATTTAATCTTTCCTGCCTGCTGGCTCTGAAGAGAGCAGCCAATCCTGACAAGAAGGATTTTCCCAGCACAGTGCAACAGCTCTGCTAAGGGACAGACTGCCTCCTTAAGTGGGTTCCTGACCCCCGTGCCTCCTGACAGGGAAAGACCTCCCAACAGGGGTTGAGGGACACCTCATACAGGAGAGCTCCAGCTGGCATCAGGCCAGTGCCCCTCTGGGACGAAGCTTCCAGAGGAAGGAGCAGGCAGCAATCTTCGCTGTTCTGCAGCCTCCACTAGTGATACCCAAGAAAACAGGGTCTAGAGTGGACCTCCAGGAAACTGCAGCAGACCAGCAGAAGAGGGGTCTGAGTGTTAGAAGAAAAACTAACAAATGGGAAGCAACAACATTAACATCAACATAAAGGACCCCCACACAAAATCCCCATCCAAAGGCCATAAGCCTCAAAAATCAAAGGTAGATAAATCCATGAAGATGAGGATAAACCAGCACAAAAATGCTGAAAACTACAAAAACCAGAATGCCTCTTCTCCAAATGATTGCAAGTCCTCTCCAGCAAGGGCACAAAACTAGATGGAGAATGAGATTGATGAATTGACAGAAGTAGGCTTCAGAAGGCGGGTAATAACAAACTCCTCTGAGCTAAAGGAGCATGTTCTAACACAATGCAAAGAAGTTAAGAAACTTGATAAAAGGTTACAAGAACTGCTAACTAGAATAACCAGTTTAGAGAGGAACATAAATGACCTGATGGAGCTGACAAACACAGCAAGAGAACTTCATGAAACATACACAAGTATGAACAGCCGAATCGATCAAGTGGAAGAAAGGATATAAGAGATTGAAGATCAACTTACTGAAATAATGTGTGAAGACAAGATTAGAGAAAAAAGAATGAAAAGGAATGAACAAAGCCTCCAAGAAATATGGAACCCCACTATGTGTAAAGACCAAACCTACGATTGATTGGTGTATCCAAAAGTAATGGGGAGAATGGAACCAAGTTGGAAAACACACTTCGGGGTATTACCCAGGAGAACTTCCCCAACATAGCAAGACAGGCCAATATTCAAATTCAGGAAATACAGAGAACACCACTAAGACACTCTTGAGAAAAGCAACCCCAAGACACATAATCATCAGATTATCCAAGGTTGAAATGAAGGAAAAAATGTTAAGGGCAGCCAGAGAGAAAGGTGAGGTTACCTGCAAAGGGAAGCCCAGCAGACTAATAGTGGATCTCTCTGCAGAAACCCTACAAGCCAGAAGAGACTGGGTGCCAACATTCAACATTCTTAAAGAAAAAATATTTCAACCAAGAATTTCATATCCAGCCAAACTAAGCTTCATAAGTGAAAGAGAAATCAAATCATTTCCAGACAAGCAAATAATGAGGGATTTTGTCACCACCAGGCCTGCCTTACAAGAGCTGCTGAAAGAAGCACTAAACATGGAAGGGAAAAACTGCTACCAGCCACTGTAAAAACACATCAAAATATAAAGACTAATGACACTATGAAGAAACTGCGTCAACTAATGTACAAAATAACCAGCTAGCATCAAGATGACAAGATCAAATTCACACCTAACAATGTAATAACCTTAAATGAAAATGTACTAAATGCCCCAATTAAAAGACACAGACTGGCATATTGGATAAAGAGTCAAGACCCATTGGTGTGCTGTATTCAGGGGACCCATCTCACATGCAAAGACACGCATAGGTTAAAAATAAAGGGATGGAGGAATATTTACAAAGCAAATAGAAAGCAAAAAAGAAAAAAAATAAAAAGAGCAGGGGTTGCAATCCTAGTCTCTCATAAAACAGATTTTAAACCCACAAAGATAAAAAAAAAAAAGACAAAGAAGGGCATTACATAATGATAAAGGGATCAATGGTACAAGAAGAGCTAACTATCCTAAATACATATGCGCCCAATACAGCAGCACCCAGATCCATAAAACAAGTTCCTGGAGACTTACAAAGAGACTAAGACTCCCACACAATAATAGTGGGAGACTTTAACACCCCACTGTCAATATTGGATCAATGAGACAGAAAATCACCAAGGATATTCAAAACTTGATCTCAGCTCTAGACCAAGTGGACCTAATAGACATCTGCAGATCTCTCCACCCCAAATCAACATAATATACATTCTTCTCAGTGCCACATAGCACGTATTCTAAAATCGACCACATAATTGGAAGTAAAACACTCCTCAGCAAATGCAGAATAAGTGAAATCATGAGAAACAGTCTCTAAGACCACAGTGCAATCAAATTAGAACTCAGGATTAAGAAAGTCACTCAAAACCACACAACTACATGGAAACTGAACAACTTGCTCCTAAATGACTACTGGGTAAATAACGAAATTAAGGCAGAAATAACGAAGTTCTTTGAAACCAATGAGAACAAAGACACAATGTACCAGTATCTCTGGAATACAGCTAAAGAGTGGTAAGATGAAAATTTATAGCACTAAATGCCCACATTGGAAAGATGGAAAGATCTAAAACCAACACCCCAACATCACAATTAAAAGAACTGGAGAAGCAAGAGCAAACAAATTCAAGAGCTAGCAGACGACAAGAAATAACTAAGATCAGAGCAGAACTGAAGGAGATAGAAACATGGAAAACCCTTCAAAATATCAATGAATGCAGGAGCTGGTTTTTTGAAAAGATTAACAAATAGATGGACTGCTAGCTAGACAAATGAAGAAGAAAAGAGAGAAGAATCAAATAGAAAAATATAAATTGATAAAGATGATATAACCACTGATCACACATAAATACAAGCTACCATCAGAGAATACTGTAAACATCTCTATGCAAATAAACTAGAAAATCTAGAAGAAATGTATAAATTCCTGGACACATACACCCTCTCAAGACTAAACCAGGAAGAAGTCGAATCCCTGAATAGACCAATAACAAGTTCTGAAATTGACACTGTAACTAATAGCCTACCAACCAAAAAAAGCCCAGGATCAGACAGATTCATAGCCAAATTCTACCAGAGGTACAGTGAAGCTGGTACCATTCCTTCTGAAAGTATTCCAAACAATAGAAATATAGAGACTTTTCCCTAATTCATTTTGTGTGACCTTCATCATCCTGTTACCAAAACCTGGCAGAGACAAAACAAAAGAAGAAAAATTTCAGGCCAGTATCCATGATGAACATCGATGCAAAAATCCACAATAAACTACTGGAAAACTGAATCCAGCAGCACATCAAAAAGCTTATCCACCATGATCAAGTTGGCTTCATCCCTGGGATGCAAGACTGGTTCAACATATGAAGATCAATAAATGTAATCCATTACATAAACAGAACCATTGACAAAAACCACATGATGATCTCAATAGACGTAGAAAAGGCCTTCAATAAAATTCAACATCCCTTCATGATAAAAACTCTCGAAAAACTAGAGATTGATGGAACATATCTCAAAATAATAAGAGCTATTTATGACAAACCCATAGCTAATATCATACTAAATGGGCAAATGCTGGAAATGTTGCCTTTGAAAACTGGCACGAGACAAGGACCCTCTCCCACCACTCCTATTCAACATACTATTGGAAGTTCTGGACGGGGCAATCAGGCAAGAGAAAGAAATAAAAGGTATTCAGATAGGAAGAGAGGAAGTCAAATTGTCTCCGTTTGCAGGCGACATGATTATATATTTAGAAAACCCATCGTCTTAGCCCAAAGTCTCCTTAAGCTGATAAGCAACTTAAGCAAAGTCTCAGGATACAAAATCAGTGTGCATTCCTATACACCAACAACAGGCAAGCAGAGAGCCAAGTCATGAGTGAACTCCCATTTACAATTGCTACAAAGAGAATAAAATACCTAGGAATACAACTTACGAGGGTCATAAAGGACCTCTTCAAGGAGAACTACAAACAACTGCTCTAAGAAATAAGAGCAGACATAATCAAATGGGAAAGCATTCCATGCTCATGGATAGGAAGAATCAATATTGTGAAAATTGCCATACTGCCAAAAGTAATTTATAGATTCAATGCTATTCCCATCAAGCTACCATTGACTTTCTTTGCAGAATTAGAAAAAATTACTTTAAATTTCATATGGAACTAAAAATGACCTTGTATAGCCAAGACAATTCTAAGCAAAAAGAACAGAGCTGCAGGCATCACGCTACCTGACTTCAAACTACACTACAAGGCTACAGTAACCAAAACAGCATGGTACTGATACCAACACAGACATATAGAACAATGAAACAGAACAGAGACCTCAGAAATAACACCACATATCTACAACCATCTGGTCTTCAACAAACCTGACAAAAACAAGCAATGGGGAAAGGTTTCTCTATTTAATAAATGGTGCTGGGAAAACTGGCTAGCCATATGCATAAAACAGAAACTGGACCCCTTCCTTACACCTTATGCAAAAATTAACTGAAGATGGATTAAAGACTTAAATGTAAAATCCAAAACCATAAAAACCCTAGAAGAATACCTAGGCAATACCTTTCAGGGCATAGGTATGGGCAAAGACATCATGACTAAAACACAAAAAGCAATTGCAACAAAAGCCTAAATTGACAAATGGGATCTAATTAAACTAAAGAGCTTCTGCAGAGCCAAAAAACAAAACAAACAAACAAACAAACAAAAAAACTATCATCAGAGTGAACAGGCAACCTACATAATGGGAGAAAATTTTTCAAGCTACCCTTCTGACGAAGGTCTAATATCCAGAATCTACAAGGAACTTAAATAAATTTACAAGAAAAAAAAAAAACTCCATCAGAAAGTGGGCAAATGATATGAACTGACACTTCTCAAAAGAGGATATTTATGTGCCCAAAAAACGTATGAGAAAAGCTCATCATCACTAGTCATAAGAGACATGCAAATCAAAATCATAATGAGATACCATCCCATGTCGGTTAGAGTGGTGATCATTAAAAAGTCAAGAAACAACAGATGCTGGAGAGGATGTGGAGAAATAAGAATGCTTCTACACTGTTGGCAGGAGTGTAAATTAGTTCACCCATTGTGGAGGACTGTGTGGCGATTCCTCAAGGATCTAGAACCAGAAATACCATTTGACCCATCAATCCCATTACTCGGTGTATACCCAAAGGATTATAAACCATTCTACTATAAAGACACATGTGCACATATATTTATTGCAGCACTATTTACAATAGCAAAGACTTGGAACCAATCCAAATGCCCATAAATGATAGACTTGATAAAGAAAATGTGGCACATATACACCATGGAATACTCTGCAGCCATAAAAAATGATGAGTTAATGTCCTTTGCAGGGACATGGATGAAGCTAGAAGCCATCATTCTCAGCAAACTAACACAGAAACAGAAAACCAAACACCACATATCCTTACTCATAAGTGGGAGCTGAACAATGAGAGCACATGGACACAAGGAGGGGAACATCATAAACTGAGGCCTGTCAGGGGTAGGGATCTAGGGGAGGGAGAGCATTAAGACAAACACCTAATGCATGCGGGGCTTAAAACCTAGATGATGGGTTGATGGGTGCACCATAGCACCATGGTACATATATGCCTGTGTAACAAACCTGTGTGATCTGCACATGTATCCCAGAACTTACAGTAAAATAAAATAATAATAATAACATAAATAAGAAAGTTTACATTTTCAGTTATATGGTGTAAGATGTCCTTGGTCAAGGTAGATGTGAGCACCAGGACAAGGAAAAAAAAACAATAGAATATCATCTGACAAACGCTCTTAACCTATCAACATCTTGCACAAGCTGTGATATTTCTGTGACTTATGTAATATGCTACACTATAGCCAATAGTGCCTGTTTATCTAATGCTATAGTCAACTTTTCTATTTATCAGGGCTGTGAAATTTGTACAAATGCTGGTAGTAAAACTGCAGAAGAGAATCAAATGATGGTTATTACAGTGATATTAAGATGAATGCATTCTGTTATGTTGTTGTATTAATAAAAATCAGTAGTATATTAGTACACCAATACTGTTCAAGCTGAGGGTCAAATCAATAATCCAATTATATTTACAACAGCCACACACCCACAAACAAAGCTTCTAGGGATACATCTAACTAAGGAGGTAAAGTATCATTATAAGGAGAAGTACAAAACATTGCTGAAAGAAATCAGAGATGACACAAACAAATGGAAAAACATTCCATGCTAATGGAGGGGAAGAATCACTGTCATTAAAATGGTCATACTGCTGAAGCAGTTTACAGATTCAATGCTATTCCTATAAAACTACAAATGTCATTTGTCGCAGAATTTGAAAACAAAAAACTATGCTAAAATTTATAGAGAACCAAAAAGAGCCTAAATAGACAAAGCAATCCTAAGCAAAAAGAACAAAGCTGGAGGCATCACAATACTCAACTTCAAACTATACTAGAAACGTAACTTAACCAAAACAGTATGGTATTTGTATTAAAAACAGACATATAGATCAGTGAAACAGCATAGAGAACTCATAAATAAAGCCGCACACCTACAACTATCTGATTGTCAACAAACTTAGAAAAAATAAACAATAGTGAAAGAACTCCTTACTCAATAAATGATGCTGGGATAACTGGCTACTCAGATGCAGAAGAACTGGACCCCTACCTATTAACATATACAGAAATTAACTCAAGATGGATTGAAGACTTAAGTGTATAACCTAAAACCATAAAAATTCCAGAAGAAAATTTAAGAAATATCCTTCTTAATATTGGCCTTGGTAAAAAATGTACATGTAAGTCCTTAAAAGCAATCAAAACATTTAGTTCTTTAAGGAATCTCCACACTGTTTTCCATAGGGGTTGTACTAGTTTACATTCCCACCAGCGATGTAAAAGTGTTCCCCTTTAACTGCATCTCTGCCAACATCTATTACTTTTTGATTTTTTGATTATGGCCATTCTTGCAGGAGATCATTAGTGATGTTGAGCATTTTTTCATATATTTCTTGGTCATTTGTATATCTTCTTTTGAGAATTGTCTATTCATGTCCTTAGCCTATTTTTATATGGGATATTTTTTTCTTTTTAATTTGTTTGAGTTCCTTGTAAACTCTGGATATTAGTTCTTTGCTGGATGTATATAGATTGTGAAGATTTTCTCCCACTCTTCAAGTTGTCTGTTTACTCTGCTGCCTATCATTTGATCCAGCAATCCTACTACGGGGTATCTACCTAGAGAAAAAGCAGCCATTATATGAAAAAGATACTTGCACATGCATGTTTCTAGCAAATGCAAAAATGTAAAACTGCCCAAATGCCCATCAATCAATGAGTGGGTAAGAAGTTGTGATATGTATACACACACACACACACACACACACACACACACACACGTATATACATATATAGATATATAATAGTATTCCATGGTGTATATATATATATATATATATATACATATATATATATATATATATATATATATATACACCATGGAATATACACCATGGAATACTATATATACCATGGAATACTAAATATACCATGGCATATATGTATACCATGGAATACTATTCAGCCATAAAAAGGAATGAAATAATGGCATTCACAGAAACCTGGATGGAATTGGAGACCATCATTCTAAGTGAAGTAAGAACAGGAATGGAAAACCAAACATCGTATGTTCTCACTCATAAGTGGGAGCTAAGTTATGGGAATGCAAAAGCATAAGAATGATACAACGGATGTTGGGGACTTAAGGGAAAGGATGGGAGGGGGGTGAGGGATAAAAGACTAAAAGATAAAAGAATAACTGGGCATAGTGTGTACTGCTCGGGTGATGGGTGCACTGAAATCTCACAAATCACCACTAAAAAATTTACTCATGTAACCAGACACCACTTGTTCCACGAAAACTAAGGAAATAAAAAATAAACAAAAAAACAAAGAAAGAGAAAAGCATTTTTAAAAAGCAATTGAAAGAAAAACAAATATTGGTAACTGGGACCTAATTAAACTAAAGAGCTAATGCACAGCAAGATAAACAATCAAGGGAGTGAAGAGACAACCTACAGGATGGTGGAAAATATTCATAAATTCCACATCTAACAAAAGCATAATTTCCAGCATCTACAAGGAACTTAAATAAGCAGCTGAAAAGCAAATAATTCCATAATAAAGTTGGCAAAGGACATCAACAGATCCTTCTCAAAAACAGGACATACAAGCAGTCAATAAACACCTGAAAAAACACTCATTATCATAAATCATCAGAGAAATTTAAATCAAAACCACAATGAGATACCATCTTCTACTAGTCAGAATGACCTTGGCTAAAAAATCAGAAAATAACAGCTGTTGGTAAAGCCACACAGAAAAGGCAAAACTTAAACACTGTTGGTGGGAATGTAAATTAGTTCAGCTACTGTGGAAAGCAATTTGGGAATTTCTCAAAGAACTAAGAGTCAAACTACCATTTTACCCAGCAATCCCATTACTGGGTATATACCCAAAGGAAAATAATTGTTTCTACCAAAAGAAACAGTCACCCATATGTTCATTGCAGCACTATTTATAATAATAAAACTGTGAAATCAATCAAGGTGCTCATCAACAGTGGGTCAGATAAAGAAAACATGGTGCATAGAAAAAAGAAGATCCAAATAAGCTCAATTAGAAATGAAACTGAATACATTACAAACGACACCACAGAAATACAAAAGATTATTTGAAACTACTATCAACACCCCTTTGTGCAGAAACTAGATAAACTAGAAGAAATGGTCAAATTCCTGGAAATATACAATCCTCCTCTGTTAAATTAGGAAAAAAATAGAAACTTTGAACAGACCAATAACAAGCAGTAAGATTGAGTCAGTAATTTAAAAACTGCCAGCAACAACAAGGCCCAAGACCAGACAGATTTACAGCTGAATTCTTTCAGACACTCAAAGAAAAGGTATTAGAATCCTGCTGAAACTATTCCAAAAGATTGAGAAAGAAGGAATCCTCCCTAAATCATTCGATAAACCTAGTATCACTCTGATACCAAAACCAGGAAAGGACAAAACAAAAAAAGAAAACTACAGGCCAATTTCCCTGATGAACATAGATGCAAAAGTCTTCAACAAGATACCAGCTAACCAAATCCAACAGCACATCAAAAAGATAATATATAATGTTCAAGTGGGTTTCATCCCATGGATGCAGGGATAGTTTAATATATATATATACACACACGTACATATGCCAATAAATATGATACCTCACATAAACAGAATTCAAATAAAAACCATAAGATCATCTCAATAGTTGCAGAAAAAGCATTCAACGAAATCCAGCATCCCTTTATAATAAAAGCTGAAAATAAACTAGGCGTAGAAGAGACCCATCTCAAAATAATGAAAAGCCATATATGACAAACCCACATCTAACATCACACTGAATGGAGAAAAGTTGAAAGCATTACCCCCAAGAATAGGAACAAGACAAGGATGCCCAGTTTCATTACTTTTATTCAACATATTTCTGGAAATACTAGCCAGAGAAATTAGGCAAGAGAAAGAAATGCATCCAAATTGGAAAAGAGGAAATCAAACTATTGCTATTTGCAGATTATATGATTGTATACCTAGAAAATCCTAAAGACTCCTCCAGAAGACTCTTAGATTTGATAAACAAATTCAGTAAAGTCTCAAGTTACAAAATCAATGTACACAAATCAGTAGCACTGCTATACTACAGCAACAACCAAGCTGATAATCCAATCAAGAACTCAATACCTTTTACAACAGCTGCCAAAAAAATGAAACCAAACATAGGAATATACTTAACCAACAACGTGAAAGATCTCTACCAGGAGAACTGTAAAACACTGGTGAAGAAATAATAAATGACACAAACAATTGGAAACACATCCCATGCTCATAGATTGGAAGAATCAATATTGTGAAAATAACCATACTGCCCAAAGAAATCTTCAGATTTAATGCAATTCCAATGAAAATCCAATGTAATTTTTCATAAATTAGAAAAAACAATTCTAAAATGCATATGGAACCAAAAAATAACTTGAATAGCCAAAATAATCCTAAATAAAACGAACAAATCTGGAAGCATCACATTACCAGACTTCAAATTATACTACAAGGCCATAGTTATCAAAACAGCATGATACTGGTGTAAAAGTAAGCACATAGACCAATGGAATATAATAGAGAACCCAGAAATAAAGCCAAATATGTACAGCAAACTGATCTTTGACAAAGCACACAGAAACATAAATTGGGGAGTGGACACTCTATTTAATGAATGGTACTAGGAAAACTGGCAAGCCACATGTAGAAGAATAAAACTGGATCTCTATCTCTCACCTTATACAAAAATCAACTCAAGATGGATAAAACACTTAAATATAAGACCTAAAACCATAAAAATTCTAGAAGACACTGCTGCAAAAACTCTTATAGACATCAGCCTTGGCAAAGAATTTATTACTAATACTCCAGAAGCAAGTCCAACAAAAATAAAATCAATAAATGGGACCTAATTAACCTAAAAATCTTCTGCAAAGGAAAAGAAATAATTAACAGAGTAAATAGACAACTCATAGAATGGGAGAAAATATTTGCAAACTGTGCATCTGACAAAGGACTAGTATCCAGAACCTACAAGGAACTCAAGCAAATCTCTAAAAAAAAAAAAAAGAAAAAGCACAAATAATCCCAATAAAAAGTGGGCAAAGGACACGAATAGACATTTCTCAAAAGAAGATATACAAACGGCCAATAAACATCCAAAAAAATGCTCAACACCACTAATCATCAGGGAAATGCAAATTAAAACCACAATGAGATACCCCCTTACTCCTACAAAAATGGCCACTATTAAAAAGTCAAAAACTAATAGATGCTGACATGAATGTAGGGCAAAAGGAACACTTATACACTTCTGGTGGGAACGTAAATTAGTACAACCTCTATGGAAAAAAGTATAGAGATTTTTTGAACTGCTAAAAGTAGATCTACAAGTTGATCCAGCAATCCCGCTATTGATTATCCATCCAAAGGAAAAGAAGTCATTATATGAAAAAGAAACTTGCACAATTTGGAATTACAAAGATGTGGAACCAACCTAAGTGTCCATCGACTAATGAGTGGATAAAGAAAATATAGTGTATACACACCATGGATTACTACTCAGCCATTAAAAGGAATGAAATAAAGTCTTTTGCAGAAGCTAGGATGGAGCTGGAGGCCATTATTCTGAGTGAAGTAACATAGGAGTAGAAAACCAAAAACCGTGCATTGACACTTATAAGTGGAAGCAAAGCTATGAGCAAGTGAAGGCATACAGAGTAATATAATGGACTTAAGAGACTCAGAAGGAAAAGGATGGCAGGGGGGCTAGGGATGAAAAAACCACACATTAGATACAATGTCTACTACTTGGATGACAGGTGCACTAAAAGCTCAGAATTCACCACTGTAAAGTTTATCCATAACAACAAACAAACAAACAAACAAACTTGTACCCAAAAGCTATTGAAAAAAAAATTTACCCACTGGTCATATAGATCATAGAATACTATGTAACATAAAAAGAATGAAATTACGTCCTTTGCAGCAACATGAATGCAGCTGGAGGCCATTATCCTAAGTGAACTAACACAGAAATGGAAAACCAAATACTGCACGTTCTTACTTATTAGTGGGAACTAAACTTTAGGTGCACGTGGTCATAAAATTGGAAAAAATAAATTCTAGAGACTACTAGAGGAGAAAGAGGGAGAGGGGTAAGAGCTGAACAACTGCCTGTTTGGTACCATGCTCCTTACCTGGACAACAGCTTCAACCATCTTCTAAACTTCAGCATCACGCAATATGTTTCTAATAAAACCGCAAATATACCCTCTGATTCTAAAATAAAAGTTTAAAAAGAAAAAAATTACTTTATAAATGACTGGTTTTAACTCAAGTACTGCTGAGAGAGCAGATCACACTGTGTGAATTGACTATACCTTTTAAGTGTTTAATATTCCATTTAAACTGTCAAATAAAGTATAAAATACAGTTTGTGATGCATTATTCATTGATAATATCATGTCAACATAATAAAAACTGGTTTATTTCTTCCAGTAAACAGATTCTTCAATGAAAAATGTTGTTACTACCAGACATGAAGAAATAGATGCAATGCTTAAAGTGATGTTTAAATAAGTTAAAAGTTAGTGATGAAAGGAAAGAAAAAAATAGGGCAATGTTTAGTTGGGCATGGGAGAGTGATTTAAGCCTAATTGCTAGCAGAGGCAAAGTGAAAGGAAGAGATTGCTAATCTGATTAAAAGGGATGATTGGTGGAGGAGGGAGGCAAGAAGGAAGGGATTGACAGCACAGCCGTTCTTTTTCTAAGATAGGATAGAATAAAAGATACAGGAAAGAATAGATAGACATATTAAAAATAAATAAATATTAGAAATAAAGAAAAATAATGTTGAGGAATGCATGGCTCAGATACTGTATATTCTCAGTGAGTGTGGAAATTAGAAAACTGAGATTGAATAAAGACTGCCTTGAACATTTGAGGACAATGTTCACACTTTGGACAATGTTTGGTCCATACATAGACCAAATCATCTATTTCATAATTATAGAAGTAATAACTTGTAACGTTTGGCTTAACTCTCCTTCTTCCTATTAGGTAAGTGTGACCTTCAGGGATATTTCTTCCACTCTTTTTCTCAAGGCTCTTTCTTTCTAGCATGTTTGCATAATTTACCACTGGCTGATTAGGTGGGTAAGACTAGTTTGCAGGATCAGCATTAGAAAGACTATCTGGTGAGTAACCTAAAGCCATGCTTACCTATCTAAATAATATCAATGTAGTTAATTATTTTTTTCCCCAGTCTTCCATGCTTTTCTTTTGTGCATAACATTTTATAGATGTTGATAGTCTGGGTAGGCAATAGAGGTTCCATTTATTTAAGGATCCCTGAGAAACCTCAACAGAGGTTAAACATAAGACTATTGGACAATAAAGTTCACCCAAACAGTTTCTGATGTGGGCACATAGACAGATCAAAAAACACTAAAATTGTTCATTAAACTAAAGAATAGTTTTAGAGGAAGAAAGAGCAAGAATCTGTAAATACAACAGTGAGCAACAGCAAATACCTTCACTGTCCTCGGAAACCATTTACTTAAATATAGAAACTTATATTAATTTCATGCCAATATGTGTAAAGTAGTAATTGTAAATATAAGTGCTACTAAATAAAGCTGCATAGGACAATAAGACGAGTAGGTAGAAGGCCCAAAATCATCTAATAGGGTTAAGGCAGGATTTTTTTGTTGTTGTTGATAGCATCACTGGAAGAAAGGACATTTGAAGAATAATCTGAAATTATCTAGATGAAAATAGGAGAAAAGAATGTTAAAGATAAAGGTGAAATGTTACTTCCCTTTCCAATAATTAGAATGAGATATGTCACTTTTGTGAAGACCAAAATGATAAGAGCCCAAAGAGAAAGTTGAGGCATCCTCTGAAATGATATTGAAGTTTTAGGCCAGGTGCAGTGGCTCACACCTGTAATCCCAGCACTTTGGGAGGCTGAGGCAGGTGGATAACCTGAGCTCAGGAGTTTGAGACCGGCCTGGGCAACATGGTAAAACCCAATCTCTATCTAAAATAGACAAAAAAAATTGCCAGGTGTGGTGGCATGTGTCTGTGGTCCCAGCTACTTGGGAGGCTAAGGTGGAAGGATCACTTGAGCCTGGGAGGAAGTGGTTGCAGTGAGCCGAAGCCACACCATTGGATTCCAACCTTCATGACAGAGCGAAACCTCATTAGGAAAGGAAAGGGGAGGGGAGGGGAAGGAAGGGGAGAGAAGGGGAAGGAAGGAGAGAGAAGGTGAGGGAAGGGAGGGAAAGCGAGGGGAGGGAAAAGGAGAGGAGGGGAGGGTAGGAGGGTGGAAGAGAGAAGTTTTACAGCAGATTAAGATTATGCCTTAGTTTCTAAACCATGTTAAGGATTTTGACCTTTATTTTGAGGATATTTGGAAACTACCAAAGAGTTCTGAGCAGGAGAGAAAGTGGAGTGATATGATGAGATGTGTTTTTGAAAAGGCAAATGATCACTATGATTGCTTTAAGGAGAACTGATTGAACAGGGGCAAGAGTTGATGTGGAGGAACTTGTTTATAGGTTATATAAACAATATAAATGAGAGGTGATGGGACCCTGGAATAGGAAATGTTAAAAAGAGCTATAGAAAAGCATTAAGATATATTGGCAGATGAGTTCAAGAAATGAGAGAGGAATTTAATATGGGAAATGAGTGGGGGGCGGAAAACACAAATAGATTCTTAGGTTTTGACTTACACAACTGAATGAATGGTGTTGCTGCTTATTAGAAAAGAAATACAGGACTGGGCACGGTGGCTCACACCTCTAATCCCTGAGGCTGAGGTGGGCTGATCGCCTGAGGCCGTGAGTTCGAGACCAGGCTGGCCAGCATGGTAAAACCTTGTCTGTACTAAAAATATTTTAAAAAAGAAAAACAGTTAGCCAGGCGTGGTAGTGGGCATCTGTGATCCCAGCTACTCGGGAGGCTGAGGCAGGACAATCGCTTGAATCTGGGAGGTTGAGGTTGCAGTGAGCTGAAATCAGACCACTGCACTCTAGCCTGGAGACAGAGAGAGAAAAAAAAAATAGGGAAAGAAATCCAGGTGTAGAGGGAATGATCAGGAGTTTCTTTGCACATATGTTGCATTTTAAGTGACACGGTAGTTGCCAACAATAGATTTAAAGTGGATATAAGGAAACAGACTTCAGATGGGGCACAAACTAAAAATATAAAATCATGAGTCATTTAAACTTTACATGTTAAATAGTAAAATAATGTAATTTTATAGAGAGATTACAGACTGAGAAGAGAGCGTATGGCCAAATCTTAAAAAACTTCAACATGTAAAAGTTTAATAGATGAGAATCAGTCTATAAGAGAGAAAGATAAATAATAACTGAGAGGTGTGAGGATACCGAGGGGGTGTAGTGTCACTAAAGTTAAGTGAATAAATCATTCTCAAAAAGAAAACATCAGTGAATTCTGCCTATGAGTCAAAGAAAAAAAATTGATACTTTTATGAGAGCAAAATTTGTCAGAAGCCAAACTGAAGTGAATTAAGCAGTGAATGAGAAGTGATGAAATAAAGAGTAAGAAGAGACAATTATTTCCAGGTTTCCTTGAGAGAGCATAAGAAAGAGATAGAAATTGGTGTCTAGGGGTTAGGGATGGGTGCTTGTTTATTGTTTCCTTATGCAGAAAGGCATGTGAAACCCTTAAAGGCAATGGACAGGGTCCAGTTAAGAGACAGTAGTTAATAAACACACACTAAACAAAAAGTATGTAGTGTACTCACCTAAGATGAGAGAGGAGATGCTTGCACAGTAAGAAGGGCATCCCTTCTGTTA
The DNA here is from genome assembly GCF_000001405.40 of Homo sapiens. Classification (NCBI taxonomy): domain Eukaryota; kingdom Metazoa; phylum Chordata; class Mammalia; order Primates; family Hominidae; genus Homo; species Homo sapiens. The sequence continues at coordinate 31,020,748 of NC_000009.12, forward strand.
CAGGACGTAGCAATGAGGTATACATAGAAACACAGTTAAAAGATTGTTTATTGGAGGGGCATTAATAGAACCCATGCCCAATGGTGCATTGCCCTTTAAGTGTTCTTTGTGAAGAGTACAACATCATTTAACTAAAATGTGGAGAGAAATGTTATTAAATGCAGAAGAATTTGGGAAAAGTGAATAATTAATTTGTTGGAGTGGACAGGGTGAGAGTTGGCTGAAAAGAGAAATAATAGAATGGCTGGAGGATAACAAAAGCCTGAGTTTGGAGACCATAAATTTGCAGTGGTACCAAATATATAAGTTGTTCCAGCAAGTATAATCTAGTTAGATACAGTTATGCTTAAAATTAACCATCAGTTTAATCCATGTTTTGAGTTTTTCCATGGAGGTGGGGTAAAAAAAAAAATGAACAAGGGAACTTATTGTTTTGTCAGAAATGTATAATTTCAGATAATGATAATTATCCTTTGAAGTAAGTTCTATAGTTGAGAAAACTGAGGAACAGAAATCTAAGCACAAGGGTCACTGTTGAGGAAGTTTCAGGCATGGGGTTTGAACCCAGATGTGGCTACAAAGTCAATAGTCTTAATGATGTGTTGTGCTTCCTGAAATGGAGAACATAGTATGATAGTAAGATAAATGCTCTGGGACACAAAATAAACTTGACAAAAGGATTTGGAGAAGATAGAATGATGGTAAACCAGAAGTTTCAATAAAGCTGTACAATATTGAAGTGGGAGTAGTTGTACAAGCAAACTGGGAAAGTCTACAAAGTTCATGATAGCAGCATGACAAAGAGATATTTAGAGATTAATCAGAAATGTGCAGTTACAGCGTACAAGATGTGGCCAATGAAGTGGTTAGGTAAGAAAGAGGGTCAAAGAGTGTTTGGTGAAAAGACAAAAATGTCTTACTTACTTAGATACTAAAACAGATATTAATCACTCAACATAATGCCAGGTTTAGTATAAAAAATAATATGATCCAGTTGCCAAAATCTTTGCCGAATCAAGAGGAATAGCACAGAGGCTGAGAAATGGCAGGATAAAAAAAGGCAGAGGGTATTCGGTGAACTCAGTACTAAATGTTTTCTAAGAAGGTCAGAAAATAATGGCCTGGGAGGTCCAGTGCATGTAAGGATGATGAAAATCAGCTCCATCTTCTGACCCTCAGGTTTAAGGACTATGAACACACAGCTGTTTCTTTAAGAGCGGGCATGAGCAAATCTTCAGGGAAGAACTGTATTTTATCACAGGCAAGGAGAGAATAGAAACATCCAGAGAGAGAGTTGAAATAGAGTTTTGAAATTATGTGAAAAAATATGATTTTTCAGGTTGTACATGGAAAGTAAGTTACTCTGTGTTTGGAAAGATTCTTTATGATTAGAGTTATGAACTAGTTCAGCTTTTCAAAAGGATTGAGTCCCTCAGGTTATGTAATTTGAAGATAAGGACAGGTGTCTGGGAAGATCTTTTATTACAATGAACTGTTAAGAGAACTGCTGGCTGCAAGGCTGAAGTACCCATTGTAAGGTTCAGGGATCCACTGGTCTGCAGTCTGAAGGAAGATCACTTTAGTAGGTAGGACATACATCATATGTATTAATAACTACAAACTGCCAAGAGATAGGCCTTACACATTACCCACATTGATTATTCTCTAGGACTCTTCAAGGTGGGGTGGTAGTTTTTCTTCCATAGCAGCCAATTGCAAGGGCGACCACTGTTGTGTTATCACTTGTGTTTGGTATCTCTCTCCATTGACTGCCTACATATCTCCTGAGCTTTGAAAATGTCATCAACACTCGACTCAACCACCCAAGCAGTACACTTTGCTACTGCTTTCCTGTTGTTGCTGCTTAGTTTTTTTGTTTGTTTTTTCATTCTTGAATCTTCTAATAATGCTTTGTAACTCATTCCTTTTCTGTCTTGCTGGCAAACCTCTTTGTTTTCTAGATTACAGCCTTTTTAAGGTGTTGAGGTGAAGCAGCCAAGGTAATGAGTCTTTTAGAAGAGTCTTTTATGCTTTTGTTTTTTAAATCTCCTAGTACTCTCCTTTTTAGAACAAGCAGTGTTCGAAAATATGTGATATTTGTTCTGAAGTTGTGTAAACGTGTTCAAATGCGATGCCACATCATACCAGTGACCACTACTTACAACTCTCAGAGCTGCTGCTGAACCTACTGACCCTGCCAGAACCATTTTTCACCATGAGACTTCCATCCTCCTTTGCCCCTCTCTAGAAACTGCCTTCTAATGCCCCACCCCTGAGATAAAATAGAAAACTAAATCTGTGATATGTGTTACATTTTATCTGAATGAGATTCAAGTTATTCTTCACCACTGATTCCTGGAGTGTATGAAAAATCAGGAACTCAGGGCAAGCAACTATTTAAATATCCTTAAACCTCTCATAAGAGTTATACAGGATTTTTGTTTTGTTTTGTTTTGTCTGAGACCAAGTCTGTTGCCCAGGCTGTAGTGCAGTGGCGTTATCTCAGCTCACTGCAACCTCCGCCTCCCTGGTTCAAGAGATTCTCGTGCCTCAGCCCCCCTAGTATCTGGGACTACAGATGTACTCCACCAGACCAAGCTAATTTTTGTATTTTTAGTAGAGATATAGTTTTGCCACATTGCCAAGGCTGGTCTCAAACTCCTGGGCTCAAGCAATCCACCCGCCTTGGCCTCCCAAATTGCTGGGATCACAGGCATGGGACACAGCGCCTGGCTCCTATACAAGATTTATTTTCCCTGCTGTATATAGTCTTATCTAGATAGTCTTCAAAAATAAGTAGAGTTGTTTTCAATCTAGAATAACATTTAAACTTTTTTTTAAATTTAGCAGGATTTTACTACTCTTATAGACAATGTCATTAAAATATTAGTATACAAATGTAGAATGCTCCCTTAGGATAATTCGATCACATTTTACATATTTGTTTTCTTTTGGCAACTGACCCTCAGTGGCACAGAGAGGTTGAGTTAGCTATAAATGCCTTTGTGCAATTCCAGCATTTTACAACAAATGCCTAACACTGTTATGTTTTTTCTCTCTTCTAAAATAATTAAAGTTACAATTTCCCTTTCATGACTGGCTGCAACCTTGCTTTATCATCACCACAAACCTGTGGATAAGCTACAAAAGATAGAAAGCTAATATTCAGCATCAACAGACAGATGCAAACACATACACACATGTAGTATTTGTTATCAGCTTCATCTGAGCAGAGCAGAATGGAGCATTAACTGTAACCTCCTCACCTCACTGAGCCTGGGCTAAAGCTTTCAAACACAGTGTTGATTTTGAACTCCATTAGTCTTTCACGCTCATTCTGTGAGATGATTCATTCTCATGCAAGGCCTGCAACTGGTTGCTAATAAAATCCTACCCTGGCAAATAAATGGACTGTAATATAACCTGCTTCAAGGCAGCGAAATCTCAACCGCTCCAATATGATCTGTGGCAAAGCAATATGCAGCTTACTGCTATTCTCTTAGCAATGCCTGCAGAATGCTTCTCTATCCCTTTGTTTGTCCCAAATTTCTCCATTAAGGAACCTAAAACCATAGATCATCTACCATGGAGTCTATATTCTTTCATTATGGCTTATGAGTTCAAACAAAATAGCTATTGTTTACTAAAAAGATCCTCTTAGAGCTGTGCAAACAAAATTTTAGGATTTTTCTATTAAATGGCATGATGGAGACAATCATATAGCATTGGATTCTCTTTAAGAAGCTGAAACACTTGAATTTCTATGTCTCTTTTATTTATTATTTTTGAGCTAAATTAAAATAACATCCCCATTGAAATAGATAATAATATCTATTTCTCCAAAGCTTGTGATTATAACTTACAAAAATATGAAATAAAAACTTAAAGCATATGAGACAGGTATGGAAAAGATGTTTATGCTAATCTGGTAGAGAAAGAAAACTTATGAAGTACACACCCTGTAAAATTTTTTTTCTTTTCTCTCAGGGATGTCCTGAGGAGCAAATAAGATAATGACTGTGAAATTGGTCCACACATTATGAAACAATAGATAGATACAAGGTATTATTTTTACTACACAGAATACTGCCTGTCCTTACTAGACATGATCATTCACTAATATCCATATCTGCTATGAATCTGTCATCATAAAATACAGTAGTGCTAAAAAGAAAAGTAATTTGAACACATAATTTATTTTTAGAAAATTTATATACCTCCCTATGGTTATAAAGGAAAATGTTTATCTTTCTCTCTGGCAAACCTTTATGAATAGCTCAAATGATACTCATTACTGTTAATCTTTTCTCTTGCTTGAATCACACTAAGATATTACCAGGTGTCATCCTGCCTTAATTTCACCATTCACCTGAGTTCTAAACATGGATTCAGCTTAGCATTAAGTTTTCTTCAGAGAGGTTTAGATGAAGTTGGCACAGTCAATGGGTGCATCATCCACAAAGCAGCATATCATGAAGAATGAACACTTCTGGGAAAAGAAAACAGAGACACATAAAAGAAGAAGCATTGAAAATTTAAGAGACTAAATCATAGTAGGCTTTTTGAAGCAGTGCTTCCATGAAGAAAGAGAAAGTAGAGGGTTGAAGAAGAATGAGGTTGAGGGCCTGGCAGGTAACGATAATGCCGTACAATGTGCATAATATAATTTACATGAGATCTGTGTAAGATCACTGTATCCAAGCTGGAAAGGTAGATTGGCCCCAAAGGAAACTGATAAGAGATGAAGTTGCAGTAATTATTCAAAGGCTTCAAAATATTGAAACTCATCAAAGCAAAACAACAAACATGATATTTTAGTTTAATTGAAAACACTGTGTGTTACCTTGTACAGATCACTTGATATCTCCAAGTCTTGGCATTCTCAGCTATAACATGAATATAATGATACTTGTATTCAGAATCCTTATGATGTGCTCAAAGGTTTGTCATTATAACCTAGCAGTTTTGATTTTACTTAAAGGAGTCATAGGAGAAAAAGGTGCATCATGGACTTCATTTCTATTAGTACCAGAAAATACAAAGCTAGACTTAAAGAATGTAGGGCAAAAACTGGTTTGCATACAATATTGCACATTAACACACACACATGCATACACATATATAAATACATATATATGTGTATAATCTTTTTAAAATAAGGGTCTTCACACCTGTAATCCCAGCACCTTGGGAAGCCAGGGTGGGTAGATCGCTTGAGCCTAGAAGTTTGAGACCAGCCTGGGCAACATAGTGAGACCCCGTCTCTACAATTAAAAAAAAAAAAAAAAATTGGCCGGGCGCAGTGGCTCACGCCTGTAATCCCAGCACTTTGGGAGGCCAAGGCGGATGGTTCATGAGGTCAGGCGATCGAGACCATCCTGGCTAACACGGTGAAACCCCGTCTCTACTAAAAATACAAAAAATTAGCCAGGCGTGGTTGCGGGAGCCTGTAGTCCCAGCTACTCCGGAGGTTGAGGCAGGAGAATGGCGTGAACCCAGGAGGCGGAGGTTGCAGTGAGCCGAGATCGGGCTACTGCACTCCAGCCTGGGTGACAGAGCAAGACTGTGTCTCAAAAAAAAAAAAAAAAAAAAAAAAAAAAAAAAAAATTCTGGCATGGTGGCACATGCCTGTAGTCTCGGCTATTCGGAAAGCTAAGGTGGAAGGATCACTTGATCCTGGGCCGGTAGAGGCTGCAGTGAGCTGTGATTGCTCCACTGCACTCCAGTCTGGATGACAGAGCAAGACCCTGTCTCAAAAAATAAATAAACGAAATAAATAAAATGTAAATGTAAATGAAATGAAATTAAAAAGGGTTAGTATACAAAAGAATGAATAATTAGGAGAATAGAAATTTCTGCCAACAGGCAGATACATTGTCCAAATGATCTTTCCTGAAATGGTGTGGCTCATAATTATATCAGTCTCTAATTTGATGCCCAATGAATATTAAATGTGGATTGGAATTCTCCCACACAAATTCAGTAGCACTCATCAGGGAAAACTGTTTAGCCTCATTAAAGCAGAAAAAAAAATAGATTTTTAGACATTTATTGGCTAGAAATCTTGGTGTCAGTTAATGTTTGAAAGCATTTCAAGACATTACAACTCTTAACTCTGCTTTTAGCATAGGTTTTTGGACTGGAGGCAGAAAACAATATGAAATATGTTCTTTTACAAGAGAGGTTTTGCTTACCTTTAGCACTGGCAACACCAGGATGATATTGTTTCTCAGAAAAGAAAAATCCATCATGTATGCAAATGGTCCTGTAATGCTCTACACAGAGCATAGAAAATCATTTCTAAAATGTTATCAGATGACAACCTGAAATATATCATAAAAATCATTTATTGTTTTTGGTAACAGTACACTAAAATATAGGACTGTTAAGTTTTTACAAAAAAATTAGCTGGAGTAAGAATATAAGGATTATCATATAATGCTTAAAATTTAAATATTATGACCCAATGGTGCTGAAAGATGTTTCAAACGCTTTAGGATGAAGTACTGGTGGCTTTGGAGATTGCTCTTCTGCCAGCTCTTAATGTTAAAATCAGTCCCCTACAGAACTTATCCTTGATTTATTAATTTTCCCTTAGATACCCACAATTGGTTCAACCTTAATTTTTAGTTACACAGCTTGTTACACTATGAACTACTAAAGAAACAAACTGTCTTTATTTACTTGGCCTTGAGTTCCCCCTTTGCATTTAGTAAATGAGTGAAGCAACCAACTTACAGAGCGTGACTGCCATATGAATTTTTTATTAAGAAATTAATCCTCCTAACATAGAAGTAAATTATGTGGCTGGATGTGGAGAGTAGACATATGCATATGGTGAGAAAAATAGAGAAGTGATCAAATTTGACACTAAAAGTTATACAGTACTCTTGGTTGCAAAAGACTATGTATTATCTAATCAAGATTAGTGAATGTTTTGTGTGCATGAAACTCTGAATTATACACTCGATTTTGCTTTGAGGTTTTATATACACACACATGCACAAATAATAGTTTTAATTGAGGCATGTTCTCTTGTCAACTATGAATCAACCCTTAGAGCAAATATAGAATGGATCATGCATTTACTCATTTTCTCATTTGACAGTATTGTGACAGATGTGTGAGCTCTCTAGGGTTTAAGTGTTAGAAAAGAGGCTTAGGGAAGTAATTGCTGATTCATCAACAAGCATACATTAATGTTTCTCTTCACTGGGCTTCACATCTTGAAAGATTATTCCACTAATCTGCATGTATTAACCAATAAGTCATTTATTTTCTTACTTACTTTATTGATTTATTTATTTACTTATTTACTTACTTTTTTTTTTTTTTTTGAGACAGAGTCTCGTTCTGCCACCCAGGCTGGAGTGCAATGGCATGATCTCGGCTCACTGCAACCTCCGCCTCCCTTGTTCAAGTGATTCTCCTGCCTCAGCCTCCTAAGTAGCTGGAAATACAGGTTTGCGCCACCACTCCTGGCTAATTATTTTGTATTTTTAGTAGAGATGGGGTTTCATTATGTTGGTCAGGCTAGTCTCAAAATCCTGACCTCAGGTGATCCACCCGCCTTGGCCTCCCAAAATTCTGGGATTACGGGCGTGAGCCACCCACCGCGCTGGGCTTCTACTTATTTAAATATAAAACTCAAGCATTTGCCGAGCTGAACTTGTGGCATTACCTAAATATAACTTTTTTTCTCACAGTAAGTGGAAGTCATTTCTACTAACATATTTTTTACTCTTTAGCTTGTCACAGCAGGGTTTTTATTGCTAAATATCCTCTCTTCTGTAGGCTCTTTTCAAGAGCAGACATCACCTGCATATCCCCAACTGCCTGCTCCCCTCCCACCCATTTACCAATAGCTTCTGGGTAGCCTGAGAAGGCACGAGCCTATATTCAAAAGCACAGGCTTGCAGTTTGTAGACAGAACATGGACTAATTTGGAAACATGAAGAATCCATGAATAAACTTTAAAAGGGGTATTTTAACATTGACACTTTCAAATCCTAAAATGTTATAGGTACAGGACTATAAGAAAATAGAGGGCCTGGCACGGTGGCTCACTCGTGTAATCCCAGCACTACAGGAGGCTGAGGCGGGCGGATCACGAGGCCAGGAGAGCAAGACCATCCTGGCTAACACGGTGAAACCCAGTCTCTACTAAAAATACAAAAAATTAGCCACGCGTGGTGGCGGGCGCCTGTAGTCCCAGCTACTCGGGAGGCTGAGGCAGGAGAATGGCGTGAACCCGGGAGGCAGAGCTTGCAGTGAGCCGAGATCGCGTCACTGCACTCCAGCCTGGGCGACAGAGCGAGACTGTCTCCACAAAAAAAAAAAAAAAAAAAAAAAAAAAAAAAAAAAAAAAAAAAAAAAAAAAAAAAGACTAAATGTACGACATATCTTTAAAAGGTAATAGCATATCAATTTGGTTAGATTTTGAAAACCAGTGCCACGTATGTTTATTTACTACTATGCCACTACTATGTAGAGTTCCTCATAAGGCCATCATTTCAGTCATCTACAGAAAATAGGGAAATAATAATTTCTTTGGGTAGAAAAAAAGGTTATAGTGCCTATGTTTAAATATTTGCAATGTAGATGTTCATGTAAGACTAGGCGGTAATTGCACTCTGGAGCAGTAATTAAGAAATCATAATCAGGTATTCAATTGACTATTGAATGGTTATCTGTGTTCACTTTTGTTTTTCATATTTAAGTAGCTATATTGAAACTAGAATGCTTTTAGTTCTTTAAAGCATATTTCAAATCTAAGTAAATAAAATTTAAAATACAGTGCAATACCTCAATATTACTGAAGTATAATGAAGATGTTATACTTCAAAATATCTAAATCAAATACATGTTTTAATATCTAGTAATGTGTATATTTATATAAATATATACACCCAATATAGCCATGAGATTAAGGTACCAAGAACATGTCTTTGATGTGTCTTACTGTTTATTCAATTCATGTCAAGTAAATAGTGGAATACATTTCATGGGATAAAGTGTTTAAGCTTATAAAGGAAACTGTCATCGCATCCCCACCATCTCCTTTTCCCAATATCCCTACAGTATAAGATCCAGTGGAATGGCTTCGTTCTCTAATGGGTTCGTCCAACATTCTTCTACAGTACAAATTAAGCATTGCTTCAAGGGTGAAGAATGAATTTTCCCAGAAGAAATACAATATAGAGTTTATTATTTATTGCTTTCCTGCATAGATTTAATCACAATGAAATTCATATACAGTAATAAAATGGTAAGGACCAAAATTCTAGAATCCTATAAATTATTATTCTTGATATTGTAAGTGACACAATGTAAGACCATCCTAACTTTTTCAATGTCCTTGAGCAAAACACTTAAATATTCTGTGCCTTTTTTTGTTCATCTTCATAATGAGACATTGGATGAATTGGCCTTTTAGTGCATTCTAGATCTAACATTCTATGGTAACCTGCCTTTTGTCATAATGCAAACAATTACTTTTATTTTCCCTTCTCTTTTTGTACTCAGGAGATGGATAGAACATTTTCTTTCTAAAGGATGTTTTGTTACCTAAGTTAGATAAAGAGATAATTCATTATCATAGAGGATGATAAACTCCATATTCCTACTTAGAGTGAATCAGATAATACCCATTTAAAAAAAAAAAAAAAGCAGCAACGAAGTTCTGTTACTGTACTGTCTTCCAGTTTGAATAAACATCAGTTTTTGCAATAATATAATTTCTTCCTTTGACTTGTGTCCAATAGTTATTTCTAAATGTCTTAAATTGTACGATATTCAACGACTAATAGGCAGGTACAGAAAATCTTTGATGAATATAAAAACCAGTGCTCATCCAGTGTCTCACAAGTCGCAGGAGGCAAAAAGAAAAGTAAACTGAGACTAAACCTTCTGCTTTGGGCCCTGACTCTAGCTATTAGGTGAAAGCTGTCTTTCCTTTCTTTTCATGGTTGACATACTGGATAAAAAAAGAAAAAAAAAATGCTCTCTGACAGCACAGCCTCTCTCTGTGCTCACTTCAGCTATGTAAATACAGAGAAGCCTTGAAAGAGAGGTCAGAAACAAAGCCCACGTCTATCATTCTTTTAGCTCCTCAAGTAGATGCTTATAGCTCCCTGGCTGGGAGCAATTTCAGCTTTCTTTCTGATGCTCCCGTTCCCCTAAGATTATGTGCATGTGACTCAAGCTCAGCAATGCCAGTGGAAGTGTCAGGGAAGAGGTATTTCAAGAATGTTTTAGGAAGATATTGCAAATATATTAAAATCATCTTTCTCATTGTGATTGCTGTGATTTTTGCCGTCTTCCCCTCAAGTTGTAAAAGAAAATGTAAATGTGAAAGCATTCTTTGTACTCTGCCGCGGCAAGGAGCTGGCAGACGGTACAGAAGAGTAATGAACTAAGGACATGCTCCACAGCAAGGTTATTTACTAGTGATTTGGCAGCACAGGAATTTGATTTGCTTTTTGAGAGCAAAGAGAAGTAGTTAGAGGGTTTTAGATTTTGTCTCTTTATGATATAGGACCAAATGATTTCATCAAAATGATGACTTTTGCCCATATAGTAATAATGCAGTGTTTTCAAGGGCAAAGCTCTCTTAAAAACACAATTTGATTTGAAAAAATACACTGTAAAACCAAAAAATTAAGTTGTCCTGCCATGTTTTCATAAAGCTATCACAAATACCTGTAAGCCAGTTGTGTTTTAATAATAAAAGAACAATGACCACTCTGTTTGATGAAAGTCACAAAAACTGAAAACTGGGGCATGGGAATTTAGTAGACATGAATACCTTTGCAGTTAAGTTTGTATAAATGTAAGTTATTTAACTTTTTTTTCTTTTTTTGAGATGGAGTCTCGCTCTGTCACCCAGGCTGGAGCGCAGTGGCGCGATTTTGGCTCACTGCAAGCTCTGCCTCCCAGGTTCATGTCTTTCTCCTGCCGCAGTCTCCCGAGTAGCTGGGACTACAGGCGCCCTCCACCAGGCCCAGCTAATTTTTTGTAGTTTTAGGAGAGACGGGGTTTCACCGTGTTAGCCAGGATGGTCTTGATCTCCTGACCTTGTGATCCGCCCATCTCGGCCTCCCCAAGTGCTGGGATTACAGGAGTGAGCCACCGCACCCTGCTGTTATTTAACTTTCCTATTAAAACAATCATCTACACATTTAGCACATGTGAATATCGTAAGAATCCTATAAATACACATATTCCATATAGGTTTTTAGCTGATTTTTAATTCACCTTTCAAAGTTCTGTTGACCTTTAAAATAGTTTAGTACTACAAAAAAAAAAAAAAAAAAAAAAAAAGAGGAAGGATGAAATTGTAAAAGAGCTGATGCTAGCAATTGGGAAAAATTATTAGTAGAAATCAGAGAAAAAAAGAACCATTAATGGAAATAGTTCAAATTAGGGATGGGCTTCATGTTCTCCAGAAAGAACTTCATAAAATAATAAGCTTAAAAATCACAGAATCGGCATCATACATGGAAATCAAGTATTTGTCCAGTTTAATTTCAAACCTGACCTTTTCATATGCCAGTTAAGGAGCAGCTTGTTTTCCTAGTACATAGTGGAAAGCCTGAGGCTACCAGGCAAATTAGGGCCCAGAATCCCCTCTTGTCTCTGTCTGCAGCATTCCATGTCAATCTACATTACATTTTCTGTCATTTTCACTGCAACATAGAATCGCAACTGTAGTCACTGAAGTGTCCAGTATTATTAAATTGGTGCACCAATCTAATACTTAATTGAAGTCCTCATTTCCCATAAATGGGCCCGTGCCAAATGCCTGAGATAAACTATAAACACCTGCATTTATGTTGATTTTTTATTTTAAAATTCCTTTTCAACTGAACAATAAAGCCTTAAAATGTACAAAACATATCACTCAGAGACTTCATAGCCAACAAAATCCACTATGAATATTTTATCATGTTCCCTTTTAAGAAAGAATTTTTATTTTAGTGTCTGCATAAGTGATTGATAAATATTTTTGTGCCTATTTTTGCTTAGTTTTTTCTGTATATGCGAAAGTCAACATAAACTTATTTCTAATGATTTCCATGTGATAATCATAGAAGCATGTTTTATGACTTAAAAGAATTCCATTTATAATATGAACCACATTATAAGTTAGTGTAATTATTCCAAAAATGTGGACTATGTAGGGTGTTTTAAGTTTTTCTCTGTGATAAGTGGCATTAAAACTTTTTGTAAAAATTTTTGTATTGTGCCAATATTAAATCTGAAATGCAGAGTATGGAAGTTTCTCTCACCATGTCAGATGCATCCAGGTTTAAAAAAATTTAAAATTATAAATTTTAAATTTTTATGTATAATTGTAAATATTTATAATTATAAATTTAAAATTCATACTTATAATTTTAAATTTATGATTATAAATTAATTATAATTATCAGAATCATTAAATTTATGAATATTTGTTATACATATAAATATATAATAAATAAAAATATAATTTATTAAAATTTATAAATTCTAAATTTTAAAAAATTTTTTCTGCTTCCAGTCTGAAAATACATGCTGAAAGCAGAATTCAGAAGTATAATATCTTGAAATGCTCTCAAACATTAACTGAAACCAAATTTTCTAGCTAATAAATGTCTGAAAATTGATTTTTTTCTTTTCTGCTTGAATGATATATAATTTTGAAACTTATATCTTGTCTTTAAATTTGCATTTTTTAGTTATTGATTAGATTAACCATTATGTCTCATAGTTACAGGTTATTTTTATTCCATTTTTTAATTAATATTTTTGATTTTTTGCATAGTCCCTAAAATGGCAACTATTTTGTTTTATTAAGTACTCTATAAATTAAGGGTATTTATCCTTATAGTATAGATGCCCCCAATGTACAGTTTGGCTTTTAATTTTTTTAACAGCATTTCCTGTTACCTCTTTTGCATACTAATCTTCTCAAATTAAAAAAGAAAAAGAAAATACTTTTAGTTCTTGGGTTCACAAAACAATGAGATTTTCGCAACCATTAACATGTTCTTCTTTACACACAGGAAACTGATTCTTATGTTATTTTGACAGGTGTAAAGAAAGGCCTGTGGCCCCTTCAGGAACAGGTAGGGAGGCTGCTATTCTGATCTTGCAGAAAGAAAAGCATCACACTTCTAAGAAAAGAGCAGGCTGACTTTGTTCCTGTATAGCTCTTCTTACTATTCATTTCCAATTAGTCTTCACATTCCTAACCAAAAACATCAGTTATCCTGGTGATTATATAGTTCTAGTATTTTATGATGAGATTCATGTGTGTGTATCTGTTAGAGTACTTAAAAATCATGTCTGTAATTATTTACTTACAGTTATTTCTTCCCAAGAACCATGAGCTTCTAAGGAACTTGCTCTAATGTTATGTCTAGTATAGAATAGCTGTCTACTTAATGTTAACTGAATAGCATAATTACCTAATTAGTTAAATGACAGGAAATAGAGAGTGAAATAGAGAGGGATGGAAGAGGAGAGTAAATATGCAAGTGCACTGATCTCCCATGCCATGAAAGGACTAGTTAAATCATGACACCTGCAGACACCAAAAAAAGAGAAAATGTTGTGTCACTCAGTCACCTTCTCATGCAGAAAGGAGATAGGCTGGGCTTCAAGCAGCCTGTGCATTTACCCAATTCTCTGCTGTCCTGGGTGAGATATTATCATTATAATAGCTCCGCTGCTGCACAGTCCTGTCATCACAGTGTGCTGGCCTTACCCTCTTTCGGGCCATGCTCCCTTTCAAATCTGCTTTCTCATATTTCCGCTATTATGATTATGACAAACAAAAGAGAGTTTTGACCTTGAGAGAAGCACAATTCCATTTCTGTTGCCTCATATACCACGTGGCAGCTCACTCACTCTTGCACAAAGAGAAGTCTACCAAATCAGCCTCTTTTAAAGATCAGAGCACCTGCAGCATATGGATTTTTAAAAAGAAAATACAGGAAATAGGAATTAAATTAAGGAATACAAGAGATACAGCAAGGTAAAACACAGTGGTAACTAAGCAAAAAAGTAGGGGAAAAAATCTTTCAGAGAAAGAGAATATTTAGTTCTAAGAGGATCAAAAGCTAGAGTTTCTGTGAAGTATAGTTTCCTGAAGGAGTGGATACATCGTTTATGTTGAAGTTTAGGATACTGACAAGGTAATATTAAACTAAACTACTGCAGAATTAGGTCTTCTATGTGAAGTTTCTAGGATTAATCAATAAACCATGACCTAAGAGAACTATTTAGAAATTTTTCCTGAGAGACAGTTGCTCAGTAGTTTGGTAACGTTCAGTCATATCATCTTTTACTGAAAATATATTTATACAGGGGAGGGTGCGGTGGGGAGTGCATTAGGGAAAAGAGCTAATGCATGCTGTGCTTAATACCTAGGTGATGGGTTGATAGGTGCAGCACACCACCATGGCACACATTTACCTATGCAACAGACCTAACCTCCTGCACATGTACCCTGAAACTTAAAAATACAATAATTTTAAAAAGAAAATATATTTATTAATCATAATACAATAGGAACTCAAAATGTATACAACACAATTGATGTAAAAAGTACAGCAGGCATAATGGCAAAATGGACATTACTTATTTATCATCTCTATTTCCATTTTCAGAAGGAAAAAAAGAAGTTTCCATGTAAGGCATTCAGTCATGTGTATGCTTAAACTCAGTCTCATTGTTCTAGTTTTTATTTTTATTTTATTTTTGAGATGGAGTCTCACTGTGTTGCCCAGGCTGGAGTGCAGTGATGCGATCTGGGTGTTCACTGCAACCTCCGCCTCCCGGGTTCAAGCAATTCTCTTCTCTCAGCCTCCCGAGTAGCTGAGACTACAGGCGCCCGCCACCACACCCGGCTAATTTTTTGTATTTTTAGTAGAGATGGGGTTTCACCATGTTAGCCAGGATGGTCTCGACCCCCTGACCTCATGATCCGCCTGCCTCAGCCTCCCAAAGTGCTGGGATTACAGGCATGAGCCACCATGCCCGGCCTCATTGTTCTAGTTTTTAAATGGCATTATAGAAGATGGAAAACAATTCATATCATTTCCCCCGGGATTTTACACAATATCAAAAGAATCAGAGGCTGAAATAAAAACACATGCTCGACAAAACTATGGATGCATAAGACCAAGTCTAATAAATGAGGAAGGACTGATGAATTAGTAAAGACAGATAAAGAAGTTGTGATAAAAGATCTCATAAAGTGAAGATTGTATGATTTCTCAAAATGAATAGCATATCCCATAGGGAAAATTGGTATTTCATTGGTTCTAACAATGAAGGCAAGGGCTGTAGGAAAGACTTGCGGAGACTTTATTCAGTGAGTCTGGAGCAGCAAGTGATATGGAGCTGAACCAGAGTGTCCAGATAATACAATTTTGTAAAAAGCAACTATCTGTATACTCGTGTAGAGAGAAAACACTGAATCTTTGCTCAACCCTACACTTTTGAGTTCTGGGTATAAATAAAAAAGGTAAACACACACACACACACACACACACGTTATAACTAGATCATAAGGTAAAATTCTGCTTCTAGGAGAGCATAAACTGAGTCTTTCCTCATATAGACCTCCCTCAAATAGTTGGTCCAGGAAAATCCCACCACTTCCAAAGATTAGCAGTATTAGAAAATTGAACTAGGTTGGCATGATGGCTCATGCCTGTAATTTCAACAGTTTGGGAGGCCAAGGCAGGAGGATCACTTGAGCCCAGTAGTTCAAGACCAGCCTAAGCAACATAGTTAGAACCCTTCACTACACAAAATTAAAAAAAGCAAATTAGCCTGGCATGGTGGCAGACGCCCATAGTCCCAGCTACTTCTGAGGCTATGGTGGGAGGATTGTTTGAGCTTGGGAAGTCAAGGCTGCAGGTAGCCATTACTGTGCCACTGCACTCCAGCCTGGGTGACAGAGCCAGACCTTGTCTAAATAAATAAATAAATAAATAAATATAAAATGAAATCAGACATGATTTATTCAGACAATACTTTGTATAAGAGAGAAGGAGCAAAAAGAATGGAAAGGGGGAAAAAAAGAAGTAATAAGAATGTAGAAAAATGTTGCTAAAGAGACACTGAAAATTATAACCAAATTCTGTCATCTATTAATCTACATCTATATATCTACATTTATATCTATATTATATATGTATTTATCTACTGTATTTATGCAGTGCATCAGCAGCAGTCTCTCAGACTACACTATCCCCATTCTATTTATTGAAGGGTTTCTACAAAGCCCTAGCCAGGATCTTGGGCCAGTAATAAGGTGTGGTTTCTACTGGCTAGATGCAGGCTAGCTTCTGTACTGTACCCCATTCTATTCCTGGCCTATATTTATTAATTTGTGTATCATATAAATTATTTGATTTCCATATTAAAACAATTTCCTGTGAGAGTTAGCAGATATTGTGAACATCATTAGTATCCTATAAATAGATCTTTCCCTCTATCTGGGCCTCTCCTTCCAGTCTCAGAGTGGAATATAATCTGCTCTGAGATCAGAATTGTGTCAACCTTCCTACTCTATGGATTACTGAAAAATTCTATCCTCCATTATTCTAGGCTTGGTGCTCTCAAAATTTATTCTTTGCACTTAAAGAAATGTTCTTTGCAGTTGAAAATGCTTGTTTGAGACCATAGTTAACTTTGAAAACATTATTTTCAAATGCCAACCTGCATGACTACTTTCCTT
This sequence comes from Homo sapiens, assembly GCF_000001405.40. Classification (NCBI taxonomy): domain Eukaryota; kingdom Metazoa; phylum Chordata; class Mammalia; order Primates; family Hominidae; genus Homo; species Homo sapiens. The sequence continues at coordinate 31,037,486 of NC_000009.12, forward strand.
AGCCTTTAATTGGAAGCGAACATCAAGGCAGCTAAAAACAAGCATAAGATACTAGGAATATAAATATGTCAGCTAAAATGTCCAAATATAATTTATGGCATAATAATTTAATAATTAAACCTTTATTTGCAGTGGAAAACTTGAATATATGAATATCACAATAAAGTACGTTTTTATTCAGTAATACAAATGCTTTGAGGATATTTCTAAAGCAATTTTACCATCTCTAATTTATATATAGTAATTGAAAAAAAAATAACTGAATTTTTGCTTTGTTCTTGATATTGTGCTAAGCACTAGAAACAAACAAACAACAACAAAAAAGAATAAGGCACATTTACTTTCATTTTTCTCCTTGACTACCCTGGAGTTTAGGATTGCTCTCAACCTCTGTCATCCTCAGAAATTTATCTTCACTTTGTCATTCTATTCTGTGGAGAGGCATCAAGCCACCAAGCAACATGTTTGGGAGAACAACTTTATTCCAAAAAAGTACATTTTTTTAAGTAAACAAGTCTTAGAAAATACTTGCCTGTGGATATGATGCTAATGTATTCTGAGATGTAATAAAATTGGGATATGGATTTATATGCCATAAATGAAAAGTATTTCCTCACCCAGCCTTCAGGGACCGTCCCCCGTTCTCTTGGTGTGTTCCCCTGCTGATTCTAATCACTCTCTAACATTAAATCAATGCTATTTATTTCTTGTGCTACATAAACTATCGACTGTCATCCTGAAGGAAGGCAAAACCAGAAATATTTTGCTTATACTTGTCCTCATTGTCTTGGGGCAAACACTCCTGACTGCTGATTAATTCACATCGAAGGTCTTTCAATTTATGTTCTTTGAGTGATTTTTGAAAGTAAGTTCATATATTTCTTGGATTACATGAAGAATTGTATATGACTCTCTGTAGTTCTTAGGGTTTCTCCTGTTGTGATACTGTGTTGCCTATTTCCCCAGAAGTGGTTACTGAAATCACTTTAATAAGAACAATAATAATAGGAAGAAACATTATAAACTCATGTAATCCATGTAACTTTTCCATGAGTTAAATACTAGTACTACCCCTATTTAAAGTGAGTGGGGAAAAAAATAGATGAGTGAGAAGTTTGCTCGTCCTTTGATCACATTCTTACAATTAATTAAAAGTGGCATAATGTGGTGGCTCATGCCTGTAATTCCAGCACTTTGGGAGGCTGAGGTGGGTGGACCACTTGAGTCTAGTAGTTCTAGACCAGCCTGGACAACATAGAGAGATCCCGTATTAAAAAAAAAAAATACGAAACATTAGCCAGGCATGGTGGTGACAGAGAGAAAACTTGTCTAAAAAAAAAAAAAAAAAAAAAAAAGAGAAAAGGAAAGAAAAATTAAATAATAATGGGCATTGAATTCAAGATTCCAACCTGGGAATCTGGATCTAGATGCCCAGTGTCAGGCTTCTGTATTATTAAACTCAAATCTCTGTAAATTTTCTAGTAGCATTTTAACCACATGGGTCCTCGGTACCCTAAATAGCCTCCCTTAGGAGAGAAAAAAAAATGTGACTAGGAGAAATGGGGGTTTGGAAGTAGGGAAAAATTATTATACATGTCTATGTCATTATGTATGTTTAAGTAAGGATAAATCATGCCTATTGAGAATTGGGAAGTGATTTAGCTTTGAGAAGAGAAAATTCCTCAGCAACTGGGAAAGGAATAAAACTACAAAGAATGATAGAAACTTTGTCATTTAATTAGATGAAGGAAATCTAAGTTTTAAAAAGATGGAATAACTTTGTCACTTAATTAGTCAATAAACTTTCCAAAATCACTAAATAAAAAAGACTTGGAAAGTTCTTCTCATTTAATTTTATATACACAATTTGTATGTTTTCCCCTTTTTTGCAGCATGAGATATGATGCATGCAATATCAAAAGTACAAAAATATTCTTGATATTGAGGATTCCATGCCACACGAAAACAAATATATCTAAAGCACTTTATATATATGAGTGTGTGTATACATATATACACACATATATATACACATGTATATACACATATACACACATGTGATGTATGTACATGTATCCTATATATTATATATGTACATGTATACATATATCACATACATGTGCATATATCGTGTGTGTATATACATATATATGAATATATATGTATGTATATATAATTTAGAAGGATGAAATTAACTTTATGTTTAAAGGATGATATTAACTTTAGGTTTAAAAAATTAGATTTGCTTTAGGTGCCTGCAGAACAGGCCAAGCTTTAAATAGTTAAGTGTTCATTGTCCTAACACAATGACCAGTATTTCATATGTACTAAATAAATATATAACTTAATGAATTAAATGTAAAAGTCATGAAACTGTACAAGTTTTGGAGTCAGGTCCAGGGTTTAACTATATACAAACACTAAAAATAAAAGAATATGGCTCGACAATTTAGAAACTTGAAGCCATTTAACTCATAAAGAATGGTGAAGCCTTTTATTGTTTGCTTCTGCTCCAGTAGATACAATAAAAGCTCTGATTTCGGTGATATATTAAATATTTGTCATGATACTTTGTAGATGAGTTTATATATAAAGAATTGTGATATTACATATATCAAAATATCTTTGTGTTACTAAAAGTTTTCCTTTATTTTTATTCCAGTGCCAACAGATTTGTAGTAGAGGGAAATATGTTCATAGGAAAGAGATGGAAACAGGAAACTGGGTGCTTACGTAATAGCATTTTATGATTTAAGAAGTATCAGTGTTAATCAATTTCTATATATAAAATACATTTTTTGAAGCACACAAACTCCCAGGTTATTGAGAATAGTAATCTAGAGTTACTAAAAAGCTAAAAAAAACTAAGAGTGAAGGTTTATAGTCTGTTCAAATGGCGGTCCATATGTGCATATATAAACAAAGTATCAAAAAGCGGCAACAAAAGCAGAAACACAGTAGAATTTTTTTTTTTTTACTAGAGATATTTCAATGTGTCTGGGTCCTTAAAAGCCAGCATTATACAACATAAACAAATCAGAAGTTATTCCTCTGCTAATGTAGCTGTGAAAATCCTATGATGTCAGTGGCTTTATGAAATCCACCTGTCTGTAGTCTGGGGAGAATGCTGCCTTTTCTAATAATCTACAGATTAGCTCAGATACCTAAGTAAGGACAATATTCAGGTGCCCATAAACCTGTTATCGATGATAAGTTTTATAGAATAATGACTATATGCCATGGTATTTTCTAAGCCCCATACCCAGATGTCAGTTATTGCGTAATAGTTATTACGTCCAGATGCCATTTTAACTCTTTTTGCGTTACATATATTATTGTATTTAATCCTATTCACCACCCTGTAAATCAGTTAGTACCATTATTTTACTATTTAAGTTGCAGAACAACAGGACTCAAAGTTTAAATTCAACTCACTATCTCCACCCCTAACATCTGGTCTGAGCCATTACCATCATATCTTGCTTCATTTATTGCTTTCCATCTCCTACTTTTGATTTACTTTTCTCTTATCATTTAGCACCTGAATCCTATTTTATATATGCTCATGCTTCTTTTGTTGTCTTTCTTCATTTTCCTCATAACAAAGACAAATTTATGCCTTCTAGGTAGAATAATGGAATTTGAATGAGAAGGAAAGAGATCTGAAATTTATTGCTTTACTACCAGAAAGATGACTTCAAATTCTGCAGCTAGAAGCTTTCTGTTCAGTGCTCACAGTGGACTTAAGTTAGTCTATAACTTGACAGGTTACACTGGTGTTTTATCTAATCACTCATTTAATCAATTTATAAACATTTACTGAGCAAAACTTTTTATTAAAGGCCATTTTTTAGGGGTTTGGAAAACAAAATTTAAGTATGATATCATCCCTGCCTTTAGAAAATTAGATTATGTTATGAGATCATCATGCAAAATTCATCCATTCATTCTACAAGTGTTTATTGAGTACCTTCTATTTGCTAGGCACAGATCTACTGCTACACATAGGGACTTTAACAAAAGAGCAAACATCTCTGATTTCATGGAGCATATATTCTAGCACAGGGAGACAAATAATACACAGTAAATACAATATGCCAGGTGGAAAATATATCATAGATAATAATAAGTCAGGGAAGGAGGATAAGGAGTTTATACCTGAAAATGCCAATTTTGTAATGCCTTAAACTGCATTGTTCTTATTCTTTTTCCTGAAAACACTTTTACTCCCATCACAGTCTTATGCATCATAGAAATCCTACCTAGAAGTTGTCTTTAGTTATTTGCTATTTAATGATTTTCTAGGTTAAAAAAATGTATATCAGCCACTAAAACCAAGCAAACAAAAATCTTAGATGACCACCTACTGTGAACACTTCCCGGAATTATCTGGATGGATTTTTCTTTTTAAAATATATATATTTTGAAATTCATATACAGGTAGAAAATGTCCTAGAAAAACTATATGAACAAACAAGAAATGTGAAAGCCCATATTTAACCCAGTTTCTGACCCATGGGAGGAGTCACTCATTATTTGTTGAATGAAGAAATGAATGAGTGTATTAAGGAATAATGAATAGAGGTGAGAATATTTAGACATTAAGATATTTACTGGCATTTACTAATTATGATTAGTGGTACAATTCACTTGTCTACTGCTAGTATGTTCTGAATGACTCTTCACCTATGTAGTTTTTCTACATGATGGTGTACTATCACAGTGTACAGCATACTTCTAAGATGTATATTTTAATGCTAACCTTGGAATCAATACACATTGACGTATTAGGTCTTGTTTTAAAAAGTATGAATGACACCAGAAGTGCAGAGCCAAACTGAACTCTGGCTTGAGATTACAGGAAGAATTTCTAGAAAGAAAGAAAAATTGACATAGAGAGAGCTAAAAAAATTGTTGTCATCCTACAAGTTTATACAAGGGAAAACATTCTTTAAAAATGAAGGCAAAGCAAAGACACTGAGACAAACAATAACTTAGAAAATTTGTTACCCACAGGCCGACACCAAAGGAAATGCTAAAGGGTAAGTTTTAGGCACAAGAAAAATTATTCAAGATGGAAGTATGGTGATGCATGAGGAAATGATTATCAAAGAAAATAATAAAGAATAAATACTTGAGGAAATCTAAGTGGATATTGAAAGTATACACCAGTAGTAATAATGACTTATGTAGTTCAAATATAAATCTAATTTAAAAATACCTAGAAAGCATAACTTAAAAAGGCAGGAGGCATTGGATAATTTTTAAATGTTAGGGAAGTCATAAAAGTATTAATTTATAATAGAATTTAATTATTTGATGATGCTTGCTATGATTTTTATTGTATGCTAAATGGATGACTATTTAGAAAGCTAATAAAGTGGAAAAATCAAAATAACTTAAGGAAGTGAATATAACAAGTAGAACAAATATAAAATAAAGAGCAAAGTGACAAATTTAATCTCAATTAGTAATTACATAGCTTGTCAGGTTGGCTGAGTGGTCTAAGGTGCCAGACTCGAGGAATTACATTAAGTATAAATGGCTTACAAACAAAATGCTGCTTAAATCTATGTATAACATAATTAAATAATCAAATTCTATGCAATCTTCTCAGAAATATAATTAAAAGGGGCAATTAAAATGCAATAAAAACTAGAATAAAGAGGAGGAAGAAAGTCACAAATAATGTAGAAAGGGAAAAAAACAAAAAAGATAAATTAAGCAACAGTAAGGAATAGAAAAATGGGAAAAATAATTAGAAATGGCAATGTGGTTAGGGAAAGAGGAGGCTGCCTACGATCTGAGCTGCATATGGTATAAAATTAACATTATTTCAACTTTAAATGGAAAAGGGAATAAATGTATATCTACCTTCCTACTAGCAATTTTAGGTAAATATTCTTCGCAAATATCTAGAAAGATTAACTATAAAATTCTTACTTGTGTTTTAAAGCTAATTGAAGAAATTCTCCCAGAGAGGTGGAACATAGTCTACTTTACCCCAGAAAACTCTTTTAAAAATGTGATGAATAACATTCTTAACACTCAAGGTTTTATACTAAATTTCTCTAGCTTGGCCTGGAGACATATTGATAGATAGCTCAAATCATCCACTAGAAAAGAACAATGTATCTCCATTCTCTTGATGGATTTACTCTGAAGTTCCACTTTTTTAGCTTGATCAGTCAATGCGGTTTCAGAAGAAATGTAGTATTCAAGTTTGAAGAGTAGGTAATGTTTTCCCATATTTTATAGAATACTGACTTATTTAAATTATCTTGAGAGGATCAACTTAGAATTTCACTTCTTTAACTGACGTAAGTCAGCTGGGACCTACTCAGGGAGTGACAAGTGGGAATGAGACAGAGAGAGTAAAATCGGAAGAAGATAGATAGTTAATTTAGCAGCCAGATCAAGAAAGTTCTTACCTACAAATATCTGAAATCACAGAATTTATAGGATGAGGAGAAACTTAGTTCTAAAAGATTATAATATAACTAAATATACTTAAGTTATAACCATAGCAATGAGTAAATATAGATATTTAAACTACAGTTACTTAAGTTATAGTATATAATACTTAAGTATATATGTACTTATGTATGACATATAAGTAATAGATATAGATATATGTATAAATAGATATAAATATATATATATACACACTATACATTTTTGGAATTTGCACAACTAATTTCTGGGTTTGCATAACTTTAAACGGGAAGTCAAAAAGTTTCAAAACTTATTCTTTATTCCTGGCAATATGGTAAGCACCAGATTTGTGAGAAAATTTATGCTTTAAATCGAATCTTCCATTAAATAATTTCTAACATGCTGGATCAAATTTGCTAGTAATAAAACAACAGATTAGAGTTGAAATATTATCATTTTAATATTTAAAATAAGTTCCTAGAATTATCTATAGTGTATGTATGTATATATGTGTGTAGGACAGGGTGCTAATTAGCATGATAATTAAGTCCACAACTGTGGAAAAATAAATTATATTGCAAAGCCATTTGCACACCAATAACAAACTTTCAACACTAGAACAAAGAGATGATTAACAGAAAATAATATTACCAAGAAAACTTCAGATCTATAGAATATACGACAATTAAGACCCTAGCAAATTTGAACCTTTTAAAAGTATCTTGCATTAAATCATTATAGTCAATGGCAAGAAGGAGTGGTGTTTGTCAGTAGGTTTTAAACTTGTTGTACTAATGCAATTATTAATAGCATCCTTTTTTAGTCTCTAACGTGACCAATTCTGATGATAAATTATATGTTCACCCTAATAAGCCTCTCTAATTTTTCCTAATTCTTATAAGCTTCTTATCTTTATGTTGTAGTTTCCTTGTTTCTGCTTTATATATTATTTCAAAGTTAGCAATTCTTTATTATATACTTTAATCTGCTGCAGGTGTGTGTGTGTGTGTGTGTGTGTGTGTGTGTTTATGGAAGGGTGCAGGGAGTTTTTTAGAGGACATAAAACATTATTTGTTTCATTTCTGCATGTGTTCCTTCTTCATCTTAAAAGAAAAGAAAAGGAAACGTATTGGGAACATCATAAAAGATAGATAATAGAGAACATAAATTTTCACCAAATTAAACACCGGCTAAACATTTAATAATATATATTTATAAAATGTTTAAATTCCTTTTTTATATTAAACAGATTTTAAATGTAAAACTAAGTTAATGAAACTCTAACTGCATTTTAGCTACAATGGACTGAGTAATACCAGAGTAATTTAAATGTTAAAGGCTTATGGAGAAAAAATGTTAATAAGCAGGGTGTGAATACATGCAAAAATTTCTTTCTTACAAAAAGAAAGAAAATAAAATCAGTTTTTAAAAAATACGTAATGAATATACTTTTAGACATCTCTCATGGAATGCTAAGCGTATTAATAGTGAATGAAAGTTCCAGAGCTGAATTCTCTAAAGTGCTTCAACATAAATTGTACCACTTATCCAACCTTTCCCACAGTTGTTATTTAAAATGCATATTACATATTATTGTAATTGAAACATATGTAAATACATGGACTTCTCAATAATTTGAAGGGTATGTTAATTTCAGGTTACAGACCATGACTTGATATATTTTTTACCTCAAAGATCTTTCTCCAGAGTATTGGCTTAATAAAAGCTTGCTGGATGATTGAACCACAGAATGAATTCCAGAAACTCAAGGATGTGTTGAATTACACTGATACTAGGATATTAAAATACTTTTCTTATATAAAACATCACCAATTGTGATGTTATAAATATAAGATGAGACAATGGAAATTAAAGTTTAATAATATATGTATGGCCAAGTGAACTGGAAATAAGATAACTTGAAGGTACCACTACAAGTTGTCATTTGTACATTGAGAAAAATCTGAGAGCAAATTCAGTGTACTGAATATGTTGCCAAAGGCTAGGGATTAGTGTTTATCTAAAGTAAATCACCTGCTACCACCAACTTTGCCTTGGTCATAGTTTTATCAAAATTAAATATTTGATGTCCTTTAGGGTGTAACTCACTCTTCCAGTCAGGCATGATGGGCTTGAATACCGCAAGGCATTTCTGAGTCACTTTCAGAATCTTCAAAATATTTCCCTGAGGTGAGAAGCAAATATTGAAACCTTATTTTATACCTGGAGATTCATAAGAAAACTGAAGGGTAAAATTGCTAAATGAATTGTTTTAAGGTCAAGTAGCTGTTACAGGGCAGAGTGAAACACTGGATTCTAAGCCACTTTTTTTTTTTCAGGCAATACAATATATACTTTTGGGAATTAATTCGATGATCAGCCCTGAAAAATAATTCAAAGAAGAGAAATATTCATTCACATGAAAATAATATTGATTAAGGCAATATATTTGGATGATTGTCAGACTCATATATTTGAGTTAATATTTACAATTACATTATCACAGTAGCCTAGAAAAATCCAGGCAGTTAAAAAAAATCTTTTAAAATGTATCCTTCCTTCTTCCTTTGTAAAATAATTCCCCACTTCTAATCCTAACTAGATTAAATGCAGGAATACAGCCATTAAAAAATTACATAGTCTTCTAAAGAGAAGACTCAATGTTTTCCAATGATCTGTGCATACCTGAAATCACAGACTATGTTGGATAGGAATATGAAAAGAATATATAGTTCTGTGATAAATGCATACATATAGCTGGAGTGGCTGAGTCTGTGATATAAGACAATAGTCGAACGCAGTAGTTTTTAACCAAGAGTTTTGTCCTCAGGGGACATTTCATGGTGTCTGGAGTTAGTCTGTTTGTCAAGACTGAGTTGGTTGGGGGCCTGGAATAGCAAGGAAGTCAACTGAATCAAGATCTAGTGAGTAGAGGCCAAGAAATTGCTGATAAACACTTGTAATAAAAGTATTGCTGATCAAAAAACACTGCTAGTCTTCCAGTTTGTTCAAGTTCTAATTGTTTCATGTTACCACTAACAGAAAAAAATCAGAAGAGAGAAATATTAAGTAGGATACTTACATAGAAAATGTAGAGATTGAAAAGATACTGAGAAAAGCATATCTCAAAACTATTATTTCCATCTAGCTAAAGCCAAAGAAAAGGTTATTTTTTTAACATTGAGATAAAATGTTACTAATAGTTATACATAAAGAGATAATCTAAAATCCTGAATTATTTTTAAAGAAAAAATTGGAAATATATATTAGAACCATCAATAGGAATTATTTATTGGTGGTTCAAATATATGAAACATTAAGTTTTACAAAATTAAAAATACAATGCAAAGATAGGATTAAAGAAGGCTGGGCATGGCTCATGCCTGTAATCCCAGCACTTTGGGAGGCCAAGGCTGGTGGATCACCTGAGGACAGGAGTGGAAGACCAGCCCGACCAACATGGCAAAACCCCGTCTCTACTGAAAATACAGAAATTAGCCGGGTGTGGTGTCACACACCTGTCATGCCAGCTGCTTAGGAGGCTGAGGCAGGAGAATTACTTAAACCCAGGTGGTAGATAGAGATTGCAGTGACCCAAGATGGCACCACTGCATTCCAGCCTGGGCAGCAAAGCGAGACTCCGTCTCAAAAAACAAACAAACAAATAAAGATAGGATTAAAGGAGAGTATAGTGCTAACTTGTTTCTCAGATCTGCCTTCTTATGAGATTTAGTACTGGGCTTACAAACCTGTGGAATGCTGAGGGGCAGGAAATGGTAGGAGGCTCTGGAAGCTTCCACCCTGTCCTGGGCTGGATAGAGCTCCAGAGTAGGGAGGCTGGTCAGGTGCTCACTGGAGCGATGAACAGCCTTCTAAGCCAGAGACATCACACTTTTTGACTTTCCTTCTTGTGATGTGCTTGTGGAGGGAGAAATCTAAACTGGAACCTGATGTCAGGTCTTCTAGAAAATGAGTTTTGACCCTTCCAGTGCTGAGACATAGTGAAAAGCGTGCAAGTGCACGGGTGTGATGCAAGAAGTCACTAGGTTATCCAGTACTCTGATGTTAATACAATTAAGGAGTAGAGATTGTTGCTCCTAGAATGGTGTAATTTCCCCTTTCCAGCTTAGAATATAGAGCAATTAATCTTTAAATAACCTAAGCTTCTGACTCTTAGATTGCCCATGACAAAAAAAAAAAAGAAAAAAATAGAAAAAGAAAATGTACTTTGTATTAGGTTTGGTACGAAGTCAGTACTTGGTATATAAATGTTAAAATCATGCATGTTTTTAAAACATCCACAATTTTAATGAAATTTTCATAAGAATGCATTTAAAAAATAAAATTACACTCCTGTTCCGTCTGTACATTGCCTTACAATGTCTAAAACCATTATTTCCTGTCTTAAGCCACCATTGCAGCCTACAGGACAAAACCAAGATTCCCTTGCTGTTGCCGGAAGCACTCCGCCCTCTGATCTCCAATTCTCAAATAAATGGGGCATTGATCCATTGCTCTGTGTGAGTTAATGCCCTAGAATTATGCTTATCTGCTTATCTCCCTGGGTTCCTTCTTACAGACAAATTTCTGTCTCAGTCTTTGGTGCCAGTATATGTATTTTATTTTCTATTTTTTTTTTTTTTCTGGAATGGAATGTTTCACCACTGAACCACAGTGTTTCTGAGACTTATTATCTTTGCGATCCTTTCAATTTCTTCATGCTTTCCCTCAACTTCCTGAAATCCTGTAGTTTATCAGTGACTTGGAACATTATTAACTGCTTTGTAGGAGGAGACTTGATAAGCATTCTTTAAAAGATGAGGTTAATTTTTCATCTAGAGTTCTGAGAGGCTATGGAGTAGGAATATTCAGGGTTTCCCTGAGCTGTGGGGCTCAGAACGAAGGAGAAATAAAACCCACCTCCCAAGGGAAAAAATAGGCTTAGCAAGAAAGGGCTTGTGGAAAAGGTCTGCCGCTGAAGTCATGAGACAGAACAGATGAATTTGGGAAGTGGGACATTGGATATCACCTGGTCTAGCAGGAGACAAGACAGGAGACTTGTAAAATGTTACAGAGTAGACCCAAGAAAGAGAAAGAAGTATTAGTGAGGTACATTTGGTTAGTGGCATTTATAGGATGTTAATTGTCAGCACTTCCTATGCTTGAAAAAAATAGAGATTTGGAGGGTTGAAACACTTTTGCCAGTATACTAATACGCTGCTTTGTAATTTATCTCCAACATTTGTCTTTAATTCAGGTCTTTGCTTCTATCATAACTTGTAGCTTGACCAGATAGCCATTTCCAAAGTATCACTCCTATTCTCTGCCCAATCCTACAACAGTTCCAACTCCATTTATAGCTTATGACTAGAAACATGTTTTAACAGAAATAAAAATGCAGATTTTTATAGTTTATTTCAGTGATCTTTCTGAGAAGCGTAAAAGCAAAATTAAAAAACAAAGGCAAATATATGGAAAATTTATCAGTAGAAAATACAAAGGAGAACATAAAAACAGTGGTGTTTCTTTAGAATGATTGGAGTATGGAAATATGGGTAAAAGTAACTGATTAGAATCTCTGTCAAACTACTAATGATTATCATATTAACCAGTTTGGGACATATATCTATTTATGACCATCCAATAAAAAAGGCTTACACAAATAAATTGGTCGAATATAATCTCATTAATTTTATACCTCTTTATATTGTAAAATCATACTTTCATATTGTATTATTATAGTGTTTTGATTCCTACTCTTTCCACTTTTATATTGTTTATTCTTTGTATTCTTTATATTTAAACCCCACTATTTACCTGTTTACATTTTTAATCAAACTCATCACAGCCACTTCTTTCAATTTATATTATGTTATTTTTCAGTTATAGCTATCTTGTATTTCTTCTCTCAATCTAAACACCAAATTTCTTCATGGATTTTTTTCCTTTAGACCTATAGACACTTCTGGTTTTCTCTCATTCTTTTTTTTTTTTTTTTTTTTTTTTTTTTTGAGATGGAATCTTGCTCTGTGGCCAGGCTGGAGTGCAGTAGTGCGATCTCGGCTCACTGCAAACTCTGCCACCTGGGTTCAAGCGATTCTCCTGCCTCAGCCTCCTAAGTAGCTGGGACTACAGGCTCACACCACCACACCTAGCTAATTTTTGTATTTTTAGTAGAGACAGGATTTCACCATGTTTGCCAGGATGATCTCGATTTCCTGACCTCATGATCTGCTCGCCTTGGCCTCCCAAAGTGCTGGGATTACAGGCGTGAGCCACGGCGCCTGGCCTCATTCTAAGACTCTTAAGTCAATGTCAAAGCAGTGCTACCTCCAATTTTTTGCTATGGGGCTTAAGGCACACTCTTCTGTAAAGAGCTATTTTAGATTCAAAGTTTGCAATAGATTTTTTATTTTCCTGTTTTTGTCTCTTTTGTTCGGAAAGATAATACATTTTACATTTTTCCCTATTAGATAATGTTTATTTGCAGTATTAACTGTATTCACAAAAATGGACAAATTACCTAATGTAAGCTTGCCTTTTTAAGGTAATCTAGGAGTTTTTTTTTTTTTAAGGAAAACTCAAGGTATCAAAATATTATCTGAGTTTTTCTGCCATAGCTACTCTTTCTCAAGTTAGATAAAATTTGTACAATAATGTGCCATAGAGAAGTCTACATACTAATATTCTAATTTCTTAGAAGTAACATTATTTTTACCAAGAAAATAAGAGTGAAAGATCAAAGTATAAATATCTAGAAAAAAGAAAAATATAGCAACCATGAAATGAGGGCTTTTTTAAAAAAATCAGCTAAGTCTTCATGATATATTATATGATCCCTCAGGTATTACATGTCAGAACAATTGAGGAAAGGGAACAATTTAAAAAGTTGTCAGACTGTGCCATCTTTAGGGTCCACAGATACAGAAAATGTAATTGAAGCAATGAAGTTAGTAGAATATGGAAATAACATTGAAATGTCATATTTAACCATCATATACTGAGATGAATGATGCTGCCTCTCTTCTCCCAGATGAAGAGAGTGTTATGCATTCTCAAAGAAAACTTAAGTATTCGAAAGATGATTCTGTTGTTAGAATAAGGAAATGTGGTCCTCCATCTTGTCCCATAGAGGAATGTAGTCACAGCTGTCTTTCCTTTCCTTCTCACTTCACTTGCCACGTTGATAGAGAAACTCCTTTAAGCTTCCCGAAAACTTGAAACTTGCTTGATCACACTTAGCCCTAATCCGACATATTCAAACTCAATCTACTCTGTCACCTCAACTCCTCAAAGAATGAAATTGAATGTTTCCTTGATGCACAAGGTGTTTGTATGTGGTTGTTCACTGGTGGGGAACAGGAATACAGTAACACAGAAAGGGAAATTCTTAGTTCAATTGCAACAGATTATTGGTAAACTATTGTATCATCTGGTTTAACAGGCTCAAAGGAAAGGGGCATCTTTAGCAACAGGCATGTGAGACTTTTGCAGTATATTTTATTTTTCTGTGAATAGAACTCCCAATTATAATATGTAATTTTATTGTTTTTTTTTTTATTATTATACTTTAAGTTTTAGGGTACATGTGCACAACGCACAGGTTTGTTACATATATATACATGTGCCATGTTGGTGTGCTGCACCCATTAACTCGTCTTTCAGCATTAGGTATATCTCCTAATGCTATCCCTCCCCACTCCCCCCACCCCCCAACAGGCCCTGGTGTGTGATGTTCCCCTTCCTGTGTCCGTGTGTTCTCATTGCTCAATTTCCACCTATGAGTGAGAACATGTTGTGTTTGGTTTTTTGTCCTTGCAATAGTTTGCTGAGAATGATGGCTTCCAGCTTCACCCATGTCCCTACAAAGGACATGAACTCATTTTTTATGGCTGCATAGTATTCCATGGTGTATATGTGCCACATTTTCTTAATCCAGTCTATCATTGTTGGACACTTGGGTTGGTTCCAAGTCTTTGCTATTGTGAATAGTGCCGCAATAAACATATGTGTGCATGTGTCTTTATAGCAGCATGATTTATAATCCTTTGGGTATATACCCAGTAATGGGATGGCTGGGTCAAATGGTATTTCCAGTTCTAGATCCCTGAGGAATCGCCACACTGACTTCCACAATGGTTGAACTAGTTTACAGTCCCATCAACAATGTAAAAGTGTTCCTATTTCTCCACATCCTCTCCAGCACCTGTTGTTTCCTGACTTTTTAATGATTGCCATTCTAACTGGTGTGAGATGGTATCTCATTCTGGTTTTGATTTGCATTTCTCTGATGGCCAGTGATGGTGAGCATTTTTTCATGTGTTTTTTGGCTGCATAAACGTCTTCTTTTGAGAAGTGTCTGTTCATATCCTTTGCCCACTTGTTGATGGAGTTGTTTGTTTTTTTCTTGTAAATTTGTTGGAGTTCATTGTAGATTCTGGATATTAGCCCTTTGTCAGATGACACATTCAAAGCATTGTGTAGAGGGAAATTTATAGCACTAAATGCCCACAAGAGAAAGCAGGAAAGATCTAAAATTGACACCCTAAGATCACAATTAACAGAACTAGAGAAGCAAGAGCAAACACATTCAAAAGCTAGCAGAAGGCAAGAAATAACTAAGATCAGAGCAGAACTGAAGGAAATAGAGACACAAAAAACCCTTCAAAAAATCAATGAATCCAGGAGCTGGTTTTTTGAAAAGATCAACAAAATTGATAGACCACTAGCAAGACTAATAAAGAAGAAAAGAGAGAAAAATCAAATAGACGCAATAAAAAATGATAAAGGGGATATCACCACCAATCCCACAGAAATACAAACTACCACCATAGAATACTATAAACATCTCTACACAAAAAAACTAGAAAATCTAGAAGAAATGGATAAATTCCTTGACACATAATCTCTCCCAAGACTAAACCAGGAAGAAGTTAAATCTCTGAATAGACCAATAACAGGCTCTGAAATTGAGGCAATAATTAATAGCTTACCAACCAAAAAAAGTCCAGGACCAGATGGATTCACAGCCGAATTCTACCAGAGGTACAAGGAGGAGCTGATACCATTCCTTCTGAAACTATTCCAATCAATAGAAAAAGAGGGAATCCTCCCTAAATCATTTTATGAGGCCAGCATCATCCTGGTACCAAAGTCTGGCAGAGACACAACAAAAAAAGAGAATTTTAGGCCAATATCCCTGATGTACATCGATGCAAAAGTCCTCAATAAAATACTGGCAAACTGAATCCAGCAGCACATCAAAAAGCTTATCCACCATGATCAAATGGGCTTCATCCCTGGGGTGCAAGGCTGGTTCAACATATGCAAATCAATAAATGTAATCCAGCATATAGACAGAACCAATGACAAAAACCACGTGATTATCTCAGTAGATGCAGAAAAGGCCTTTGACAAAATTCAACAACCGTTCATGCTAAAAACTCTCAATAAATTAGGTATTGATGGGACTTATCTCAAAATAATAAGAGCTATTCATGACAAACCCACAGCCAATATCATCCTGAATGGGCAAAAACTAGAAGCATTCCCTTTGAAAACCGGCACAAGACAGGGATGCCCTCTCCTCACCACTCCTATTCAACATAGTGTTGGAAGTTCTGGCCAGGGCAATCAGACAGGAGAAAGAAATAAAGGGTATTCAATTAGGAAAACAGGAAGTCAAATTGTCCTTGTTTGCAGATGACATGATTGTATATTTAGAAAACCCCACTGTCTCAGCCCAAAATCTCCTCAAGCTGATAAGCAACTTCAGCAAAGTCTCAGGATACAAAATCAATGTGCAAAAATCACAAGCATTCTTATACACCAATAACAGACAAACAGAGAGCCAAATCATGAGTGAACTCACATTCACAATTGCTTCAAAGAGAATATTGTTTTATTTTCAAACATTTTTAAAATCACACTGCAGAGGAAAGTATGGGCCCACCTATGAGGAACAGTACTGTATATATTCTAAGCCTAGAAATTAGGAGGTATCTCCCTCTTCAATTTCTCATAATAAAAAGATAACTTTTAAACACTGAATGAGATTTCATAAGGAAAGGAAATTTCCAACTTCAGTTTTCTTATATGAAATCTTCTGTTAATTAAACTTCCTAAAATAATTATCTGCTCAAGAGTGATGGCTAGATAATGTGTTCATGAAAAATAATCTAGGCCCTTGAGCAAAGTAATATATTCAGCCCAAAAATAATTAGAGAATGGGAGTTATTGGAACTATTACAAGATAAAAAAGATATATTGAAAGCAGATCCACATTTTATTTTACATGTATTTGCATAAATACACACAAGTACATATATAAAATCTCAATCTTTTTCAGTCTATATAGCCATTTACTTTTTATTATTGTTTGATGAATAATTTAAAAAGATAAATGATCAAGTATTCCTACCTGTATGTTTACAGATTTATACTCCTTCATTTTTTAAAGGTTGAATTTAAAGGTTAAATTTCAGAAAAATCCATTGAATCCTTTAAATCCATAGAATATTTTCAATGACATTTGAAAAGTTAAGATACCGCTACCTGAGTTAAACATGATAAATTATAAGAAACAAAACCATCAGGTCACAACTGAATAAGACCTCATAATTACTGCTAAATTTCTTCAATTCCCAAGTCCAAATATTCTAAACTTTCATATGTTAGATGTGTCCACTGTATTTAGATGTCAATGGGCTTATTCAGGATTAGGGTGAAAATGAAAGTACTGGCTACTAGCTATGGAAGAACAATAAATTTTACTGAAAGAAGAATAAATTTGCATGTTGTTGAATACTATAATTCAATATAATAATAAAAATTATAGCCAGCCTAATCTTGAAGACCAACCCTTCAGTCACATTTACTTGCCAAGCTCACATTTACTTGTCATGTTTATTTGGAGATGAATACATATACCAATACAATTGAATAAACATACTTTTAATTAATTGACAAATTGGTATTTTTTAATGAAAAATAGGATCATGATAAATAATAATAACAGCTATCCTTGTTCTGGGGAGAAAAGGTAGCCAAATACAAATTTAATACTCTAAATTTAACTACATGAAAAAATTTTAAAAATTATACATACATATTAGAAATTGCATTTGACAAAATGTATTTGGAAGAGACAGGATTTTAAAAATAACATTAGGTTATTGAGGTGACATCCCTAAACCTTTGAATTCATTATCGTGAAAGGGAATTTGTAAATTCTCTCAAATAATATCATTACATATTATTGTCAAGAGACAAAACAGTACTGGATTTTATAAATTATTGCTAATGTTTATTGTAGTTATGAATGTCTTTGTATCTAAAAAAATTCCAAAAGTCAAAATACATAAAATTGTTTTAACTTTAATTAGTACATTCAGTGCATGACTCCTTCTGGTAAAAACGTAATGAAACACATTAGGAGCTCCAGTCAAGTTCATATAATATCATCAAAAGGCAAACAATGTCTTTAAGAAGAAAAATGTATGAAAGTTATGGAATCAAAACATTTTATGCCAGAAAGACACAAACATGCGCGCGTGCACACACACACACACAAACACACACACACACACACACACACACAAACACATTACATGGATAGTTCATAGTTGCCATTATCCGTGAGAGAAGTAATTGTGGTTTGAGTGAATTGGGAGGAAGATTAAGAAAGAATCCATTTTCTGTGATCTTTTGTACAACGTCAAAGCAACTTACTGAATTTTTGCCTTTTTTTTTCAATCTGTACTCTGCAAAGCAAGGACTTGATATATTTTGAAGCAAATATTTCTTTTATCTTCCTTGTCATCTTGGCTACTTTGCTTTTGGGGAGGTGAACATACCTTTTGTGATGAAGATCTGTTTGATCTGAGCAAAGGATCCTTATAAAGCTATTAACTCTTCAAAGAGGATATCTTTCCAGCACACCAATGAAAACATAAGTCTCAAAAATGCTCTTCAAACCTTTCATTCTATATTTTGCTTTGTACTCTGATAAAGAGAATCATAAGTTCAATTACTTAATCATTATTCAATAATCTATTATTCATTACTTTTTTACTAATATGATTTTAATGAAGAAACTTACTATCCTTAAGTATAAAAATATGTAACAGATTTATTCTCCAATAACTGTTTTTAGCTATGTTCTGTCAAATTCCCTTTTATTTTATTTTATTTTATTTTATTATTATTATACTTTAAGTTTTAGGTTACATGTGCACAATGTGCAGGTTAGTTACATATGTATACATGTGCCATGCTGGTGTGCTGCACCCATTAACTCGTCATTTAGCATTAGGTATATCTCCTAATGTATCCCTCCGCCCTGCCCCCACCCCACCACAGGCCCCAGAGTGTGATGTTCCCCTTCCTGTGTCCATGTGTTCTCATTGTTCAATTCCCACCTATGAGTGAGAATATGCAGTGTTTGGTTTTCTGTTCTTGAAATAGTTTACTGAGAATGATGATTTCCAGTTTCTTCCATGTCCCTACAAAGGACATGAACTCATCATTTTTTATGGCTGCATAGTATTCCATGGTGTATATGTGCCACATTTTCCTAATCCAGTCTATCATTGTTGGACATTTGGGTTGGTTCCAAGTCTTTGCTATTGTGAATAGTGCCGCAATAAACATACATGTGCATGTGTCTTTATAGCAGCGTGATTTATAGTCCTTTGGGTATATACCCAGTAATGGGATGGCTGGGTCAAGTGGTATTTCTAGTTCTAGATCCCTGAGGAATCACCACACTGACTTCCACAATGGTTGAACTAGTTTACAGTCCCACCAACAGTGTAAAAGTGTTCCTATTTCTCCACATCCTCTCCAGCACCTGTTGTTTCCTGACTTTTTAATGATCGCCATTCTAACTGGTGTGAGATGGTATCTTATTGTGGTTTTGATTTGCATTTCTCTGATGGCCAGTGATGGTGAGCATTTTTTCATGTGTTTTTTGGCTGCATAAATGTCTTCTTTTGAGAAGTGTCTGTTCATGTCCTTCACCCACTTGTTGATGGAGTTGTTTGTTTTTTTCTTGTAAATTTGTTTGAGTTCATTGTAGATTCTGGATATTAGCCCTTTGTCAGATGAGTAGGTTGCGAAAATTGTCTCCCATTTTGTAGGTTGCCTGTTCACTCTGATGGTAGTTTCTTTTGCTGTGCAGAAGCTCTTTAGTTTAATTAGATCCCATTTGTCAATTTTGGCTTTTGCTGCCATTGCTTTTGGTGTTTTAGACATGAAGTCCTTGCCCATACCTATGTCCTGAATGGTAATGCCTAGGTTTTCTTCTAGGGTCTTTATGGTTTTAGGTCTAACGTTTAAGTCTTTAATCCATCTTGAATTAATTTTTGTATAAGGTGTAAGGAAGGGATCCAGTTTCAGCTTTCTACATATGGCTAGCCAGTTTTCCCAGCATCATTTATTAAATAGGGAATCCTTTCCCCTTGCTTGTTTTTCTCAGGTTTGTCAAAGATCAGATAGTTGTATATATGCGGCATTATTTCTGAGGGCTCTGTTCTGTTCCATTGATCTATATCTCTGTTTTGGTACCAGTACTATGCTGTTTTGGTTACTGTAGGCTTGTAGTATAGTTTGAAGTCAGGTAGCGTGATGCGGGCTCTTTTTTGATTCCATATGAACTTTAAAGTAGTTTTTTCCAATTCTGTGAAGAGTCATTTGTAGCTTGATGGGGATGGCACTGAATCTATAAATTACCTTGAGCAGTATGGCCATTTTCACAATACTGATTCTTCCTACCCATGAGCATGGAATGTTCTTCCATTTCTTTGTATCCTCTTTTATTTCATCGAGCAGTGGTTTGTATTTCTCCCTGAAGAGGTCCTTCACATCCCTTGTAAGTTGGATTCCTAGGTCTTTTATTCTCTTTGAAGCAATGTGAATGTGAGTTCACTCATGATTTGGCTCTCTGTTTCTCTGTTATTGGTGTATAAGAATGCTTGTGATTTTTGTACATTGATTTTGTATCCTGAGACTGTGCTGAAATTGCTTATCAGCTTAAGGAGATTTTGGGCTGAGACAATGGGGTTTTCTAGGTGTACAATCATGTCATCTGCAAACAGGGACAATTTGACTTCCTGTTTTCCTAATTGAATGCCCTTTATTTCCTTCTCCTGCCTAAATGCCCCGGCCAGAACTTCCAACACTATGTTGAATAGGAGTGGTGAGGGAGGGCATCCCTGTCTTGTGCCAGTTTTCAAAGGGAATGCTTCCAGCTTTTACCCATCCAGTATAATATTGGCTGTGGGTTTGTCATAGATAGCTCTTATTATTTTGAGATACATCCCATCAATACGTAATTTATTGAGAGTTTTTAGCATGAAGCGCTGTTGAATTTTGTCAAAGGCCTTTTCTACATCTATTGAGATAATCATGTGGTTTTTGTCTTTGGCTCTGTTTATATGCTGGATTACATTTATTGATTTGCATATATTGAACCAGGCTTGCATCCCAGGGATGAAGCCCACTTGATCATGGTGGATAAGCTTTTTGATGTGCTGCTGGATTCAGTTTGCCAGTATTTTATTGAGGATTTTTGCATCAATGTTCATCAAGGATATTGGTCTAAAATTCTGTTTTTTGGTGTGTCTCTGCCTGGCTTTTGTATGAGGATGATGCCAGCCTCATAAAATGAGTTAGGGAGGATTCCCTCTTTTTCTATTGATTGGAATAGTTTCAGAAGGAATGGTACCAGTTCCTCCTTGTACCTCTGGTAGAATTCGGCTGTGAATCCATCTGGTCCTGGACTCTTTTTGGTTGGTAAGCTGTTGATTATTGCCACAATTTCAGAGCCTGTTATTGGTCTATTCAGAGATTCAACTTCTTCCTGGTTTAGTCTTGGGAGGGTGTATGTGTCAAGGAATTTGTCCATTTCTTCTAGATTTTCTAGTTTATTTGCGTAGAGGTGTTTATAGTATTCTCTGATGGTAGTTTGTATTTCTGTGGGATTGGTGGTGATATCCCCTTTATCATTTTTTATTGCGTCTATTTGATTCTTCTCTCTTTTCTTCTTTATTAGTCTTGCTAGCGGTCTATCAATTTTGTTGATCCTTTCAAAAAAGCAGCTCCTGGATTCATTAATTTTTTGAAGGGTTTTTTGTGTCTCTATTTCCTTCAGTTCTGCTCTGATTTTAGTTATTTCTTGCCTTCTGCTAGCTTTTGAATGTGTTTGCTCTTGCTTTTCTAGTTATTTTAATTGTGATGTCAGGTTGTCAATTTTGGATCTTTCCTGCTTTCTCTTGTGGGCATTTAGTGCTATAAATTTCCCTCTACACACTGCTTTGAATGTGTCCCAGAGATTCTGGTATGTTGTGTCTTTGTTCTCGTTGGTTTCAAAGAACATCTTTATTTCTGCCTTCATTTCGTTATGTACCCAGTAGTCATTCAGGAGCAGGTTGTTCCGTTTCCATGTAGTTGAGAGGTTTTGAGTGAGTTTCTTAATCCTGAGTTCTAGTTTGATTGCACTGTGGTCTGAGAGACAGTTTGTTATAATTTCTGTTCTTTTACATTTCCTGAGGAGAGCTTTACTTCCAACCATGTAGTCAATTTTGGAATAGGTGTGGTGTAGTGCTGAAAAAAATGTATATTCTGTTGATTTGGGGTGGAGAGTTCTGTAGATGTCTATTAGGTCCGCTTGGTGCAGAGCTGAGTTCAATTCCTGGGTATCCTTGTTAACTTACTGTCTCGTTGATCTGTCTAATGTTGACACTGGGGTGTTAAAGTCTCCTATTATTCTTGTGTGGGAGTCTAAGTCTCTTTGTAGGTCGCTCAGGACTTGCTTTATGAATCTGGGTGCTCCTGTATTGGGTGCATATATATTTAGGATAGTTAGCTCTTCTTGTTGAATTGATCCCTTTAACATTATGTAATGGCCTTCTTTGTCTCTTTTGATCTTTGTTGGTTTAAAGTCTGTTTTATCAGAGACTAGGTTTGCAACCCCTGTCTTTTTTTGTTTTCCATTTGCTTGGTGGATCTTCTTCCATCCTTTTATTTTGAGCCTCTGTGTGTCTCTGTACGTGAGATGGGTTTCCTGAATACAGCACACTGATGGGTCTTGACTCTTTATCCAATTTGCCAGTCTGTGTCTTTTAATTGGAGCATTTAGTCCATTTACATTGAAAGTTAATATTGTTATATGTGAATTTGATCCTGTCATTATGATGTTAGCTGGTTATTTTGCTCGTTAGTTGATGCAGTTTCTTCCTAGTCTTGATGGTCTTTACATTTTGGCATGATTTTGCAGTGGTTGGTACCGGTTGTTCCTTTCCATGTTTAGCGCTTCCTTCAGGAGCTCTTGTAGGGCAGGCCTGGTGGTGACAAAATCTCTCGGCATTTGCTTGTCTGTAAGGGATTTTATTTCTCCTTCACTTATGAAGCTCAGTTTGGCTGGATATAAAATTCTGGGTTGAAAATTCTTTTCTTTAAGAATGTTGAATATTGGTCCCCACTGTCTTCTGGCTTGTAGAATTTCTGCCGAGAGATCCGCTGTTAGTCTGATGGATTTCCCTTTGTGGGTAATGCGACCTTTCTCTCTGGCTGCCCTTAACATTTTTTCCTTCATTTCAACTTTGGTGAATCTGACAATTATGTGTCTTGGAGTTGCTCTTCTCGAGGAGTATCTTTGTGGCTTTCTCTGTATTTCCTGAATCTGAATGTTGGCCTGCCTTGCTAGATTGGGGAAGTTCTCCTGGATAATATCCTGCAGAGTGTTTTCCAACTTGGTTCCATTCTCCCCGTCACTTTCAGGTACACCAATCAGATGCAGGTTTGGTCTTTTCACATAGTCCCATATTTCTTGGAGGCTTTGTTTGTTTCTTTTTATTCTTTTTACTCTAAACTTCCCTTCTCGCTTCATTTCATTCATTTCATCTTCCATCACTGATACCCTTTCTTCCAGTTGATCGCATCGGCTCCTGGGGCTTCTGCATTCTTCACGTAGTTCTCGAGCCTTGGCTTTCAGCTCCATCAGCTCCTTTAAGCACTTCTCTGTATTGGTTATTCTAGTTATACATTCGTCTAAATTTTTTTCGTAGTTTTTAACTTCCTTGCCTTTGGTTTGAATTGCCTCCTGTAGCTCGGAGTAGTTTGATCATCTGAAGCCTTCTTCTCTTAACTCGTCAAAGTCATTCTCCATCCAGCTTTGTTCCGTTGCTGGTGAGAAACTGCATTCCTTTGGAGGAGGAGAGGCGCTCTCCTTTTTAGAGTTTCCAGTTTTTCTGCTCTGTTTTTTCCCCATCTTTGTGGTTTTATCTACTTTTGGTCTTTGATGATGGTGATGTACAGATGGGTTTTTGGTGTGGTTGTCCTTTCTGTTTGTTAGTTTTCCTTCTAACAGACAGGACCCTCAGCTGCAGGTCTGTTGGAGTTTGCTAGAGGTCCACTCCAGACCCTGTTTGCCTGGGTATCAGCAGCAGTGGCTGCAGAACAGTGGATTTTCATGAACCAGGAATGCTGCTGTCTGATCGTTCCTCCGGAAGTTTTGTCTCAGAGGAGTACCCAGCCGTGTGAGGTGTCAGTCTGCCCCTACTGGGGAGTGCCTCCCAGTTAGGCTGCTCGGGGGTCAGGGGTCAGGGTCCCACTTGAGGAGGCAGTCTGCCTGTTCGCAGAACTCCAGCTGCGTGCTGGGAGAACCACTGCTCTCTTCAAAGCTCGCAGGGACATTTAATTCTGCAGAAGTTACTTCTGTCTTTTTATTTCTCTGTGCCCTGCCCCCAGAGGTGGAGCCTACAGAGGCAGGCAGGCCTCCTTGAGCTGTGGTGGGCTTCACCCAGTTCGAGCTTCCCGGCTGCTTTGATTACCTAAGCAAGCCTGGGCAATGGCGGGCGCCCCTCCCCAAGCCTCGCTGCCGCCTTGCAGTTTGATCTCAGACTGCTGTGCTAGCAGTCAGCGAGACTTCGTGGGCGTAGGACCCTCTGAGCCACGTGAGGGATATAATCTCCTGGTGTGCCATTTTTTAAGCCCGTCAGAAAAGCACAGTGTTCGGGTGGGAGTGACCGGATTTTCCACGTGCCATCTGTCACCCCTTTCTTTGACTAGGAAAGGGAACTCCCTGACCCCTTGCACTTCCCAAGTGTGGCAGTGCCTCGCCCTGCTTCTGCTTGCCCACAGTGCGCTACACCCACTGTCCTGCACCCACTGTCTGGCACTCCCTAGTGAGATGAACCCGGTACCTCAGATGGAAATGCAGAAATCACCCGTCTTCTGCGTTGCTCACGCTGGGAGCTGTAGACCGGAGCTGTGCCTATTCGGCCATCTTGGCTCGCACCCCCCACCTTTTCTTATCTCTTAGCAACAGCTTGGGCAGGTCTTACAATGTGTCAGTCTTTTCCAATTACTGAAACTTAGCAAACTTTTAATCTTTGATCTCAATGCAAATTCAAAGTTCTCCTCTCTCTCAGTATAGGTTGAGTGTATGGGTTGATGGTTTGGGAACAGGGACTGGAACATATTCTACTCCTTACCCACCACCATATCTTCCAGGCCTTAGGGATTTTCCAATATAGAATAGAGAGAAGAAAAGAGCAAATATCTCCTCATGAACTATGTGAAGTAGTATTAGGTTAGTTTTCTCTTTTTCTTGTATTTTGTTTGAACATTTACAATACACTGTTTGTAGCCATGGAAGTCATGGCCACGGAAGCCATATCTCAGGTATTCAAGTACTGACTGTTGTTTGTGCACCTACAGTCAGTCTCTGACTTAAGATGGCTAGCCTTACAAGTTTTTTGAGTTTACGATGGTGTAAAAGTGATATACAGTCTATAGAAACCAAACTTCAAGTATTCATTCAACCATTCTGTTTTTCACTTTTAGTACAGTACTCAATAAAGTACATGAGATATTTAACACTTTATTATAAACAGGGTTTGTGTTAGGTTATTTTATTGAACTGGAGGCTAACATAAGTGTGCTGAGCATGTGTAAGGTAAGCCAGGCTAAGCTATACATATAATATGTATAAAATGAATATGATATTTAGTAGATTAACTCCAACAAATGCATTTTTTACTTATTATATTTTGAATTTATAATGGGTTTATCAGATTGCAATCCCATCATCTGTAAAAGAACATTTGTATGTGGGTTCTTCCCATTGCCTTGAAATAATTATTTATTGCAGTTATCTGCTATGGAAATTCTGGCTTAAAATCCATCTCTTACCTCTTCCCTCAGGTTAGGATTGATGGTCCATCGTGCAACATTATTTTTGAAAGTTTCTGCAAAATAACTAAAGCCTGGCTACCTTCCATGGTGAACACTAAATCTATAAGAATTTCACAGATTGTTGACAAACCGAAGTATGAAACTACAGGGTATTCCACTGCTACTTCTTCTCTAAGCCCACTTGTCTCCAGTTTTCCTTTATCTGTTTAGGTAAAACACACACACACAAATGAGCATATATAATGTCTAATTAGATGCCCAGCCCAGAAAAGAAATGTCACTCTACTTCTCTTTCAGATATTCCCTTCTAATTTTTCCCTCTCACTTGGATTTTGGAAGGCGGTGGGTGATATCTTCCTTTTTTTTTTACCTGGAGAACTTTTCACCACAAAGATAACAGGTCAACTGTCTTTCCGTTAGCTCCTGTCCACCATGTATACACAAAGGAGATTTGTAGGGTAGTCAGGTTGAATCAGATATGGCTTAGCAAAAGCTCTTTGTGAAATCCTGGCAGCTAGTTAATTGTTTCCTTGAAAATGTAAAAATATTTTCTCCCTTTGTGTTTTAGCCACAAATCCAAAACAGTAGAAAAAATTCCACTCAACCTGTTAATACAATAATTTTTTTAAGTTCTCCACTCAAATATTATTGAGTTTCATATGGGTACATATTCCTCAAGTGTATTAATCTACAAAGCCATTGGTTCAAAACGTATTTCTACAATTAGTATTAGAATTCCTAGGTAACGGATTTTTTCAATGTTAAAACTACCAGTATGTTTCTTAGCATATGGGTTTTAAGTTGAATCACTGTGTCAGACTAAGTGTCAATATTCAACCTAAAATAATTTTGATCAAATGCAATAATTTTATATGATTTGAATGAATATTTGGAAAAATAAAATGGTTAAATAAACCAAGTATTTAGAAATTATGTAGTAGGTAAATTATGTGTAGGTAAACTATTTGTGTAGGTGAAATTATGTGTGATTACAGTACTATGTTTTTTGTTCTTCATATGAAACCTTCTTCTTACCCTTTTCCTGATCTTGGAACTATACTCATATTTCTATTACAAAAAAAGCACATACAAAACCACTTTTGACTATTGAGTGCATGCCCTTTGTAAATGAAGGAGAAGAAATCTTGAAAACAGTGTGGAAATATAGATAGATAGACAGATATAGAGACATTGTGTATATATTTTATATATACACAGTGAAATACTATTCTGCCTTTAAAAAAGAAGATTTTGTCATTTGAAACAACATGGATGAACCTGGAGGACATTATGTCAAGTGACATAAGCCTGGCACAGAAAGATAGATACCACATGATCTCACTTACATGCAGAATCTGAAAAAGTTAAACTCATAGAAGTGGAGAGTAGAATGGTGGTTACCAGAGGCTGGTGTTAGGGAGGATGGATGGGGAAAGCAAAGGCATTAATTGAAGGACACAAAATTTCAGTTAGATAGGAGAAACAAATTTGAATATTGCACAGAATCATGACCATAATAAATAATAATATATATTTCGATATTGCTGAAAGAACAGATTTTAAATATTTTCACCAAAAAACAACATAAGCATGTAAGGTAAATGGATTTAATCATTCCACAATATAAACATTTATCAAAACATATTATTGTACCTCACAAATATACAATACATGAAATTATTATTTGTCAATTAGGATAAAGTTTGAAAATTTAAAAAATAGGCATATCCAAGAGAGAGTAAATTAAGGGTTCAAGATATGTGGAGAATGGCCAGACACGGTGTCTCATGCCTGTAATCCCAGCATATTGGGAGGCCGAGACAGGCAGATTGCCTGAGCTCAGGAGTTTGAGACCAGCCTGGCCAACATGGCGAAACCCTACTTCTATTAAAAATCAAAAAATATATCCGGGCATGGTGATGCATGCCTGTAATCCCAGCTACTTGGGCGGCTGAGGCACGAAATCACTTGAGCCTGGGAGGTGGAGTTTGCAGTGAGCCTAGATTGTGCCACTGCACTCCAGCTTGGGTGACAGAGCAAGATTTTCTCCCACTCTTGATTTCACAGCACCCATCTCTGGTCCTACTCTCTTTCCTTATACCCTTACCTGTCCAAATAGATGGCTATAGCCAGATGTTCGGGACTTTTCCCAAAATACACTTGACTATCCAAGAATGTTAAATATAATTTTTTGGATTTCAGAACCTGTAAGATCCATCTTATTGTGTCCAGTAAAACTCTAGCCTTTGGATTAACTTTTTGTTAAATCTTAACTGTTCTCAAATTTCTGCTTTCATTTCATTAGTTACCATTTTATTCTCTCCAAATCCCTCCTATCTCTATTCCTAATAGAAGTAGCTTTAATTTCCAAATGCCTTTGTGAAGATATTAAGAATGAATTATTTCCAAAGAATTATATGGGTACCATCCAAGTACTACCTAACACTTTCAGATGACATATGATTGTTTTTATTGTATTTGCATTTGTAAACATTTTGTATTGTATAAATGTCATCCAAGGGCCTTAGTTGTGTGCAACAAAAATGTACTTTGGTTATTAATATAGAAAATGTTTTTATCAAAAATAATTGGGAAAATCAATGAATTTTAAGAGTTTGAAGAAATTATTTTAGAAAAAAATATTGCAAGAACATGGCAAGCTAGTCATATAGAATTATTCACACAGCCAAGCTGAGGCAGAGTCATGAAGATTCTGCTGCTGTTGCTGCAGCTGCCGAGCCACCTACCACAGTGTATGACACGGCCACCCCCAGTCTTAAATTCCAACTCCTATTGCTCGCAGCTCTGCCACTGCTGCTCTGAGAAATTGGCTGCTGTCATTGCCACTGCCTCAAACAAAATAAATTCACCTCTTAAGAACTAGTTCCAGATTTGAAAATCCAGTGTAGGTACCTTGATCAGCAAGCTGCTTGAGAGCTGGAGTAGTATTTCCAATTTCTCTTGTAGAAGGTATATTCCCTCTACCATCAAAACTCACACTGAGAAGAATTCCCTCAAAATAGAAAGGAATTACACACACTGCACAGACATCAACTGCAAAACACAAAAGTATACTGATTTTTCATTTATGATACTAAATAAAGTTACCTTTATAGATTAATTTACTTTGATAAAAGACTTGCTTTGACTTACAAAATATAAATAAATAACAGTCAAGGTGACTTGCTAATATGGCAGTATTTATGAAGAGAGTACTGGAATGCTTAGATTTTGGTTAAAACTGTTCTATTGCTCTGGTATTCAGTATGTTCAGGAAAACTGCTATGTTCTGTCAAGATCACAGGATCCTCATTGATGTGTCTATACTGATTGTAGCCTGGTTAACTCTTATTCCCTCTGTAAATGAAGACAACCCATCCTAAAATGGTCATTTGGAGAATTCTGGGTTCCAAGTTCTTAAATCTGTAAGCATTACATAGATAACACAGCTATGATGCAAAAAGTCATGTTGGCTATTGCAGAAAGCTCTGTGAGTACTGACTGAGGGGAAGCGGGTGTCATAGCTTCAAAATATGTATAATGTTAAAGACTCAAATTGCTGAACTAATAATAGGTTTTTGCTCATAAATACCCAGTGGGTCGAAGTGACCATACAGGTGTCAAATACATGAATATTAACAGAAAAGCCATGAAGGTTGCTGTTATTTTCACTAAGAGATGAGGCACATGATTCATATAGAGTGAAATTTGAAGGGACACTGGAAGGCAAAAATAAATGTATACATGTATACATAATCACAAATAATATTCATTCATATTACCAATTACAGAAAAAATGAGACACACACAAGTGTCAAATAGATGGAGGTTGGTTATCAGCTTGATTCCTGAAACAGTTGTTGAATATGTAACTATAGCCACATCTTAAATTATCACAGCCTTATAGCTTAAACCCGTAGTATTGACAGGTGGTAGAGTCTTCCAGCAAACCCTAATCTGTTGTGCTGACAGAATTGCTACATAACCCTCATATTTGCTGGGTAGTGAGTCAACTATAGATAGGTTTCCTGAGCTGTGTATTAAAATTCATCCAGGAACTCTAACCCAATGGTCCTGTTTCATAAAAATCAGAGAAAGAGAGGATAGCATCTTTATCCTAAAGCAGTCTATCCTAAAAAGAGAAGAAAAGAACTTCAATTTTATATTCCTAGACCTTGTTTCCAATCCCATTAATCAGATCAGTATAACTGCGTCTGATTATGTGAGATGGGGAGAGAGACCAGAAACTCTAGTACTTTTCTCTGAAAGCAAATAACTCCTCCCAGATTTAACAGCATGAGGAGGATAGGGTGCCACTTAATAATTCCCACATTTGGTTATCTAAACCCATTGAGCTTAGCAGTTCAGGTTGCTGTCAACTCTGAGGTTCTCCCCTTGAAGAAACAGAGTATAAATATGTAATTCAGGTTCACTCTCACTTTTATGAGACCACTCCCAAACGAATTGCACTTCCTTGGTGACCATTGTTAAGCAGTACAGCGTTTGCCCTAGAAAACTCTAATCTATTATATCAATTAAGTTACCTTTCAGACCAAACTGCTCTGTAGGCTGGAGCTTCATTTCCTCTTTTATTACTCACTTCAGATTATCCCCAGCCAAACTGCTCAACAGAGATCCCCAGACATTATGTAATGAAAAAAATCAGTGGTATAAACCTGATAGAATTTGGTCAATAGAATCCCCTTTCTATTATCAAACACCTAAGGAGACATTGAAGTATAAAAAGAATTAGGCTTCTCCTTGTAAGTTAAAACCAAAAGAAATGAAAGTCTGTATTTCTTTCCAACCCATTTTCTTAATTCTGATGACTCTCAGCCACAGAGTCTCAGTTAGATACCTGCATAGAAACAGGGTTACTCAGCAGTTTTATTGATAATTTTTGGCTTAAGATTTACAAGTTAATTCAGAACATTTAATATGTCACAATACTTAATGAGGCCAGAGTTAATAATGCAAATAGGATTATTATAGCTCACAAAATTACAAATGTGCAAGAAAATTTTCAGACCTTATGATAATTACCCTAGGAAAAAGAAAAAAGGAAATGGTCCCATATCTTGACACTTAGCATAAGCCAGACACACATTGCTTACTGTTATTAAAAAATGGCAAAAAAAAAAAAAAAAAAAAGGCTCAGAGTACTAGGGAGTAGGGGGTAGCAGTGAAAAACTTGGAAAAAAATACATATTTTCTTGCATTTAGCCTCACCAAGATTTTAGTCTATTGCAACTGTAAAAAGAAAAAAAAAATGAACTTAAATGTAATTATGAAAAGTTACTCACCAAGAGAGTGATGGTAATATGATCAATAAATTTGAGGGAAAATCTGCCTGTATCTTCATAGATAATATAACATCCTGTACATTTTTGACTTATTGAAAATTCTAAAAATTGCAATGATGACCCCCCTCTCACTTTGTCAACTCCTTATGTGTCTAATTTTCCTCAGGCCATAAACATAAAATCTCATCACTTCTATTTTTCCTTTGAACCCTCTTTTAGACATTTTAATGCTGCAGGAAATCTGGACTCATCGATGCCATTTCTTTTCTCTCTCTCTGATGAACTGACACTGACTTTTGTTACTGCCTGCCTGTTGTTTCAAAATGTCTTCAAATTCAAAACGTCTTTTGTACAGTTTTTCCACTGTGCTCATATTTTTTTTTTCTGGTGGTAAACACCCAATTAAAATCCTGAACTAAAGCTGGTATTAAAATTTTGAAGACGCTTTACTTAGTAGGGTTCCAGTGAGGATAGACACAACAGCTGTACTACCCCTACCATAAAACAAAATTTTTTCTAAGATCTTTAATTTTAGAATTCAGTAACTTTTGCTAACTTCAAAAATAGTAGAAACATTTTGCAGTCTAAAATATATATTTCTCTAGTGTTATGTTTTCCATTCTTCTATCCACACTCTTTTGTAGATAACTAAGGTGAGATGCTTAATTTCATAAACTTCTTAATTTGTTCACTTTTCTACTAGGTGTAAAGCTGGACTGTTTATTGGAGCTGAGGGCTTGTTTGCTTTCATTTTTTCTTTTCCCTTTATTTATAACCCAGATATATGTTTCCTGTAATAACTATGTAATTATTATGCAATAACTGTGTAATTTTGAATCTAGTAAACAATGCCCTCATATACTTGCTCAATATTGTCCAATTTTTGTCTTTACACTTCAAAATGCTTTTAAAATTTTAAATAACGAATAATTCCCCAACCACTCATATTAGTGATTCCATATCTGTAGCTTTAAAAAAGTGTTTTTATATTTGTTTCTTTTCTGGGTTCTCACTGGGTCCTTAAATTTCAAAACCATGATTAAAACTTATGTATTACAAACTCATCACATGCTAACTAGATATGAGTGATGATCAATGACTTTAGGATTTATATCCACCCCTAAACTTCTACCCACATAAAAAGAGATTGCCATATTATCTTGGCTCTACACAGAGTTTGAAATAATATAAAGAGGAACAGAATTTGAGTCCTTTAATATACCATCCACTAATGCTCACCACTAGAATATTAGCAATAGCAAAACATCCCATACATAAATAATCTGTCTCATGTACAAGTTAGCTTTCTTCTATAGTTAAATGTTTAGCCTGCCATCCAAGTGGTAATCCAGAGGAAACATAGACAGTAATCAGAAATTAAAAGACAACTCTGTATTCTAAGTCTATGCTACTCCTAGATAGGTTAATGTCAACAATTAAAACTCAAAAAGTTGTTAGGTACCAAAACCCCAAAATATTATACCAGGTAAAAAAATAACTACCTAATAATGGAGAACAGTCACAGTGAAAGTGGCTTCAACTGGAAAGCTTGATCTTACTAATGTCTCCAACACTAATGGCTACACTTAAGACTACATGACTTTATTATACCTACACTTGAATATACCTAACTTTATTTGCATTGGTTATCAAATGTAATTTCCTCTGTGTTTCTCATTGTCTCCCAGACAAAACATCATTTGTGGTGAATAATTAACCATATCCTCTCGACCACTGAAACTGCTAATGCTATTGGAGGAAAACACACAAACACACACACAGACAAACACACCACATATACACAGTGAGAATCATAAAGAAGTAAATCAACATTTTAACTTTAGTATTAATAAAATTGAATTGACAAAAAGGAATCAAATGTGTGATCACAATCAATTTGCTTAATATTGTCTCCATTATTTGTAAAGGGGTATGGCAATATGTCATCTGAATAATGAAAATTATTTAGCCATCTAAATTGAAGTAATGGCTTGCGGTCACCAACCCCCAGAAATCAAGAATATGGAGTCATAGATGTCAATCATGACTCAATGTGCTTACTACCCAGATTCAGGGAAGAGAAGAGAATTTCCTATATGTTATGCTAAGCATGGATAATAGAGTGGAAAATAAAACAGCAGAGCCTGGGGCAGATAGGAGGCATTTACACATTGTGACAATTAGAT